>NC_000013.11:89283282-89586312 GCF_000001405.40 Homo sapiens
ATGTAGATTCATTCAACCATTAGCAAAATTCAGTTTTAGAAAATTTCCATCATCCCTTTAAGTTACTTCATGAGAGATTACAGTCTCCTATTTCCACCACATGATAAAGGCAGCCATTGATCTACTTTACTAAGAATTTCACACAAATGGAATCATATAGTATGTTGCCTTAGTGTACTGCTTCTTTCACTTAGTTATTGTTCTGGCATTTATCTATATTGTAGCATGTATCAATAATTAATTTCTTGTTAATTCAGAATAGTATTCCATTGTGTGTTTGTGTAATGACATTATCTAGTATATATTATGCCACCTATTTCTTTGCTTACATTTACATATGTGAGATTCGTGTCTCTTGATATTAACTGATTCCAGTATTATATCTCATATATCAAATACAATTTGTTTATTCTTTCTCCTGATGTTGGACAATTATTACTAATTTCCAACTTTCATTTTCTACTCTTAAAGTTATCAATATCTTGTGTGTATCTCATTCTGCACACTTGTAAAACAGTTTCTACTATATGTAGTTAGAAATAAAGTTTCTATTTTGTTTATATTATTGAATAATTAGCAATATTTGACCCAATCATGGAGAAGAGAAAATAATGCATGAAATTCCACAGATTTTATGCTTAAATTTCTTTTATTTCTAGGAAATCGTGTTTGCGTGTTTGCTTGGCCATACAGTGCTGCCTTTAATTATCTGGAGCTAACAATGCATAATTTATCTTTTGTTTCATTTGTTGGTTTAAGTTTCATAAACTTCCTTATATTATGTGTAATTTTGCAGGTGAGAAGATCAGCTCATTGTTCATTTATTCACTCCCTGTCACAATTTAATTAATTTTATGATTGGCGTCAGACATCTACACAAAGTTGGAGTGAAACTCTGAAGAATTAATCCTGTTTAGGTGAGAAGTATCATAAAATACAGGTTTTCCATGATGTTCATTAAAAATTTAATGTATATCTTGGTATGATGTTTCACATAATCTATGATATACTATTCAGACACACAATATTCTGCTGTCTTTTCTTATAATTTCATCATGATTTGAGCATTATATTGACATAATTTTAGAAATCTTTTTTCTCAGTTTTGAAATTTAGGTGAAAATAGTAAATATTTTGAAAAGAAATTGTTGCCTCAGGCTTGAACTAGCACATTTGGAGCCTCTGTAAACTAGAGTTAGGTTTATTTTTTGTTTTCTCCTCCTCTGTTTTTGTGACTTTTAAAGTGTTATTTACTAAGTAAAATGTTTATCATATTTTCCATTGTGTTTTCTAATACTGCCTCTACTTCATGTTCATAAATGCCCCCATGTCCTGCCTCTAGACTTATATTGATATCTGATTCAAATTAAACCATAAATTCCAGAGGCACAAAATATAGAAATTATGATTCATTGTTAGTTTAAATGTATTATTGTTGACATTAACATGAGCAACTTGGACAATATATTTTCCATTGAGGAAACCTAAAAAATATACATTGTCTCTTTACATTGGAAAGAGGTAGAAATCAAACATAATTTTAAACTAAATAAAGTGTGGGTTTAGTATTGTGAAACTATTGTTTCATTATGAAATGGGTTTTGGTAAGATCTCTATTTAAATAAGAATAGTAATGAGAATAATTCAATAGTATATGAAGGACATTTGTTTGACAGGGTCAAAAACAAATAGTGATCAGGGAACATGCATATTGGTATTATGAGATTAATATTGAGCAAAATAAATCTCAAGAATTATTACAGAAACGTCATAAATTTTGCTACTTAGAATTTCATGAAGGCTAAAGTCAAACATGACAATGCAAAATGGAATAAATATGTACATTTGTGCTGACAACAACCTTAACTATAATAGATATGTTGTACTTGGCAAAATATTGCATTTTCTATTTTTTTAAGCATAGTTTTGTTATTTGTGTAAGTTACTTGTATTCACACACACAGTCTTCATTTGAATTAATGTTCATTTATCCTAAAATAATATATACCACTATCTCATCTCACAAAACAACAATTTCATCACCTTTACATGTTGTAATGTAGAACTGAGTGCTAAATAATGCTAGGAAAAATATAAATGCCATAAAATGTAAACATAAAAGTTTTCAGAGATCCTCACATTTGGAGGAAAAAGGGCATATAAAAATATAATAAATCATCTCCTCTAGCTAAGTAAGTCTATACCACCATTTCTAAAGATATTACACTGACACAGTTGAATAGCATCAACTTGGGTTAGAAATATATGCCACTGAATATAGTTTTTCCTTTTTTATATAGGTGTCACTTTGTTTTATAGTTGGAGTAAATAAAAATACTGCTTTTCTTTAGGCTGATTGTTAAAATTGCACCGTACAATTCCCTCTTAGTCCTCAAATGGTTATAGAGTCTCAGAGTATCAGAATGGGCTTATTTTGTAGAAACATGAAATTCTAATTTATCTTTAATAATAATTATTGATGAACGGTACTAATTATTACAAAATACTGCTATTTTCTCCAATATATTTATATATTCAAAAATATTTAAGATTATTTACAATTATTTGCATATTGTCACTTAACCCAATGATGGATACAAAATATACAAAACTGGTATAAATAAAAAGTGAAAAGCTTCCAAAAATGGTGATATTTTTTATTGACCTACCTTAACACTTGCCCTTTGGGAAAGTAAAAAGGAAAAAACACCATAATATTATTGTAACATATTTTAAATAAAAAGACTTATTAACAATATAGTTGCAATGTATTTCAATGTTTATCATATTTTGGGAAGTTTCTATTTTAAATTTAAACTGAGAAATGTTTATATAAATCATATGCCATGTTATGGACTGACTTGTGTCCCTACAAAATTTGTCTGTTGAATCCATAACCCCCAATTGTACCTGAATTTGGAGATAAGGTCTTTCAATATGAATTAAAGTTAAATGAAGGCATAATGTTGGGGGCTAGATTTAATGTGACTGTTGTCCTTGCAAGAGAGAGACACCAGGGAAGTGCCCACAGAGAAAACGCCATGTGAGGGCATAGCAAAGAGGTGTTCTGCAAGCCAGGAAGAGGACCCTCACCAAACATTGAATGTGCCAACACCTTTCTCCTGAACATCCAGTCTCCAGAAATGTGAGAAACAAATTTCCGGTAAGCCACCCAGTCTGTGGTATTTTGTTATGGCAGCACTAGCGAACTAATACCATGTCCCAATGTTGCTAATTTTCTCTTTCACAGTCCAGGAGATAATTGATAAAAGAAAGTGCTTTCTTTTTTCTGAATTTTTAATTATTGTTATAGGTACATGGTATGTGTATATATTTATGGAGTACATGAGATGTTTTGATACAGGCATACAATGTGTAATAATCATATTATTGAAATTGGGGTACCCATTTCCTCAAGTATTTATCCTTTGTGTTATAAACAATCCAATGTTACTCTTTTAGTTATTTTTAAATGTACAGTTAAAATTATTATTGATGAGATAGTGTTACAGGATCTTTGGGGTGTTGCTTTTCTGGCTGGAAACCTCTGTGTCCCGTGGTGCCTTTGGCCGAGTTCTTGTCCTGCATCCAGGAAGAATAAAGTATGCAGACAAGTGGAGGGTGTGCTAGATGACGTGGAGCTTGATGGAGTGTTAGAACAGCTGAGAGGTGACCTGCAGTTGGTAGCTCATCTCTGTAGGCAGGTTGTCCCCTTGAGTGTTCAGCTGTCAGCAAAAAGAAGGCCCTGGAGTGGGTGGCTCCTCTCTGCAGCCAGGTCATCCCATCGTCTCTGCAGCTCTTAGCAGAAAGATTGAAGTGCGTAGCTCTTCTCTGCCAGTAGGTTATCCTAACGAGTCCCTGGAGAGGGTAGCTCCTCTCTGCAGCTGCTCATCCCAATGTCTGCCCAGCTCCTAGCAGAGAGGAAGCCCTGGAGTGGGTTGCTCCTCTCTGCAGCTAGTAGTCCTGATGTCTAGAGGGTAGCTTCTCTCTGCAGCTGGTTGTCCCATCATCTTCTCTGCTCCGGCTAAGCCCGGCCCTTTTATGGGCCTCAGAGGGGAGGAAGTGCATGCTGATTGGTCCATGGACAGCCATGGGAAGGCCCAAAAAAGTCACCACAAGTTCCCACTCCAATCCGTGGGTCTGGCAGCCCAGCTCCCAGCCTTCAGGAGAGGCCTTACTGGGGACCCACTCCCTTCCATCTAGGAATATGTCTGTCTCCTGCTACCCTTCATGGTGCCCGGGGTCAGCCTGCACTTTGCTCCAATGTTGGAGCGGGTGGCCGCAGCAGGGAGAAGCCAGGCAGTGGGAGCAGGCACTTCCGAGACTGCAAGGGCAGGGAGGGGTCTTCCCAGGCTCCGAAGAGTGCAGGGATGCCTGAGTCTGCAGCCATGGTTTCAGCAGTGCAGCTGTCTTGTTGGGGGTGGGGTAGGGGGGCAGGTGGTGGTACTCCTGCCTGCTCCTGGCCCCCAAGAGCACAGGAAGGCTTGGATCCCTTGGATCCTCAGTCACGACTTGGGTGGCTGCAGCCCCACCTGGGAGGGTGGGTTTCCTGCCTGCTCTGTGGATTGAGAGGCCCAGGTCTGCAGCCATGGTTTGGGTGGCTGCAGCAGCAGCCAGGGAGCTCCCACCCCTACTCAGAAGTGGCAGGGATCACTTTTGTCCCTGGCTCCCATTGGCTCCATGGAGAGTGCAGCCCTGGCCACGCCTCCCTGCTGCAGCAGGTATGATGGCAGCAGCAGGCCATCTGGAGAGGCCACTGCCGTCAATTGTACCATGTTATGTTGTCAAATACTAGGCCTTACTCATTCTTTCCATTTCTGTGGCATCCATTCACCATCCCCACCTCCCCACCAATACAAACCCACTTCCCTTTCCAGCCTTTGGTAAACATCCTTTTAATCTGCATCTCCATGAGTTCAATTGTTTGGATTTTAAAATCCTACAAATAAGTGAGAAAATGTGATGTTTGTCTTTCTGTGCCTTGCTTATTTCAGGTAACATACATAATGACCTCCAGTTCCATCCATGTTTTTGCAAATGACAGCATCTCATTGTTTTTTGTGGCTGAATAGTATTCCATTGTGAATAAGTACCACATTTTCTTTTCCCATTCATCTGTTGATGAACACTTAGTTTGCTTGCAAATTTTGGTTACTGTGAACAGTGCTGCAACAAACATGGGAGGGCAGATATCTCTTTGATATACTGATTTACATTTTTTTGTTGTTCTGGGTATATATCCAACAGTAGGATTGCCAGATCATATGGGAGTTCTATTTTAATTTTTTGAGAACCCTCCAAACTGTTCTCCATAAAGGTGGTTCTAATTTATGTTCCCACCAACAGTATATGAGGGTTTTCTTTTCTGCAAATCCTCTCCAGGACTTATTGACTGTCTTTGGAATATAAATCATTTTAACTGGGGTAAGATGCTATCTCATTGTAATTTTGATTTGTATTTCTTGGATGATCAAGAGCATCTTTTCATGTACCTGTTGCCATTTGTATGTCTTCTTTTGAGAAATGTCTATTCAAATATTTTGCCCATGTTTTAATAAAATTGTTTTTTCCTATATAGTTGTTTAAGCTCCTTATATATTCTAGTTATTAATACATTGTCAAATACATATTTTTCAAATATTTTCTCCCATTCTGTGGGTTCCTCACTGTGACGAAGCTTTTTAACTTGATGTGATCCCATTTGTGTATTTTTGCTTTGGTTGCTTGTGCTTGTAGGGCATTACTCAAAAGTTTCTGCACAGGCCAATGTCCTAGAGAGTTTATCCAATTTTTTTAATCAGTTTTATCATTTGAGGTCTTAGATTTAAGTCCTTAATCCATTTTGATTTTACTTTTGTATATGACAAGAGATAGGGGTCTAGTTTCATTCTTCTGCATATGGATATCCAGTTATCTCCACACCATTTATTGAAGAGAGTGTCTTTTCTTCAGTGTATATTCTTGGCACCTTTGTGGAAATGAGTTTGCTGTAGGGGCATGAAGTTGTTTCTGGGTTCTCTACTCTGTTCCGTTGGTCTATGTGTCTGTTTTTATGCCAGTACCATGCTGTTTTGGTTACTGTAGCTCTGCAGTATAATTTGAAGTCAGTTAATGTGATTCCTCCAGTTTTGTTCTTTTTGCTTAGGATAGCTTTGACTATTCTGGGTCTTTTGTGGTATTATATAACATTTAATTTTTTTTTTCCTATTTCAGTGAAGAATTTCATTGATATTTTGATACAAATTGCATTAAATTTGTAGATTGCTTTGAGTGGTATCAACATTTTAACAATATTGATTTTTCCAATCCACAAACATGGAATACCTTTCCATTTTTTTGTTTGTTCATTTTAATTTCTTTCACCAGTGTCTTATAGTTTGTATTTTAGAAATCTTTCACTTCCTTGCTTAAGTTAATTCCTAAGTATTTTATTTTATGTGAGACTATTGTAAATAGAATTTTTTTATTTATTTTTCAGATTGTTCACTGTTGACATATAGAAATCTACTGGGGTTTTTTTAGTGTTGATTTTGTATCCTGCAAATCTCTGATCTTGTTTATCAGTTCCAATAGTTTTCTTGTGGAATCCTTAGGGTTCTCCAAATGTAAGATCACATCACCTGCAAAAAGGATAATTTAACCCTATTTAGATGCCTTTCATATATTTGTCTTGTCCGCTTGCTCTAGCTAGGCCTTCCGGTTAAGTACTATGTTGAATAACAGTGGTGAAACAGTGACATCCTTGTCATGTTCCAGATCTTGGAGGAAAGGCTTTCAGTTTTTCCCCATTAAGTATGATACTAGCTGTGGTTTTGTCATATATGACTTTTATTATGTTGATGTATGTTCTTTCTATACCCTGTTTTTTGAAGGATTTTATCATTAACAATGCTAAACTTTATCAAATGCTTTTTTGGCATCAGGTGAAAAGATCATATTTTTTGTCCTTCATTCTGTTAATATGACTTATTATATGAATTGATTTATGTACATTCAAGGATCCTTGCACCCCAGGGATAAATCTCACTTGGACATGAAGAATGTTATTTTAATGTTTTGTTGAGATCCGTTTGCTAGTATTCTGTTGAAGGATTCTGCATCAATATTCATCAAACATATTGGTCTGTAGTTTTCTTTATTTGATGTGTCTTTATCTAGTTTTGGTATCAGAGTAAGACTGGCCTCATAGAATGAGTTCAGAAGTATTTCATCCTCCTATTACTGAGAATGTTTTTAGTAGAATTGATATTAGTTCTTTAAATTTTTAATAGAATTCAGCAGCGAAATCATCACGTCACAGGCTTTTCTTTACGGGGACATTTTTACTATGGCTTCAATCTCACTATTTGTTATTGATCTGCTTTGGTTTTATATTTCTTCATGATTCAGTCTTGGCAGGTCGTATATGCCTAGGAATTTGTTCATTTCTTCTAGATTTTCCAATTTATTGACATATAGTTGCTCATAGTAAACACTAATTATTATTTGAATTTCTGTGGTATCAGTTGCAATGTCTCCTTTTTCACCTTTTGTTTTATTTATTTGGGTCTTCTCTTTTTTTCTTAGTCTGGCTAAAGATTTGGCTATTTTGTTTAACTTTTCAAAAGCAACTTTTTTGTTATATTGGTCTTTTGTACTGTTTGCTTCATTTGAATTTCATTTATTTCTTCTCTGATATTTATTATTTCTTTTTTATGCTAATCTCAGCTTTGGTTTGCTCCTGATTCTCTAGTTTGTTAAGATGCATTGTTATTTTGTGTATTTGAAGTTTTTCTGCTTTTTTTGATGTAGACACTTATTGCTATAAACTTCTGTGTTAGTATTGCATTTGTTGTATCTCATAGCTTTTGGTATGTTGTGTTTTCTTCATCATTTGTCTCAAGAAATTTTTTAATTTCCTTCTTAATTTCTTCATTGACCCACTGGTCATTCAGGCACATATTGTTTAATTTCCATGTATTTTTATAATTTCCAAAATTTCTCATTATCAATTCCTAGTTTTATTCCATTGTTGTCAGAGGAAATGCTTGATATTATTCCAATTTTTTGGAATGTTTTAAGACTAGTTTTATAACCTAACATATGGTCTATCCTTGAGAATAATTCATGTGCTGAGGAAAAGAATGTGTATTCTGCAAGCATTGAATGAAACATTCTGCACATGTCTGTTAGGTTCGTTGGATCTATACTGGAGATTAAGCTCGATGTTTCTTTGTTGACTTTCTGTCTGGAAGATCTCTCTGATGTTGAAAGTAAGGTGTTGAATTCTCTAGCTATTATTTTATTGGGGGCATATCTCTCTCTAATAATATTTGCTTTATATAGCTGGGTGTTTCAATGTTAGGTTTACATATATTTACAATAGTTCCATTTTCTTGCTTAATTGACTCCTTTATCATTACATAGTGACTTTGTTTGTCTCTTCTTATACTTCTTGTCTGGAAATCTATTTTGTCCCCATACCCTTATTTTCAATCTGTTTCTTTCTAGACAAAGTGTGTTCCTTGCAGGCAACAAATTATTGGTTCTTGTTTTGTTTTTGTTGTTTTTTTTTTAATCCATTCAGTTACTCTGTGTCTTTTGATTGGAGAGTTTAGCCTATTTACCTTCAATGTAATTATTGATAAGTAATGACTTACTCCTGCCATTTGTTAGACGTTTTCCGGTTGTGTTTTATAATCTTCTCTTCCTTCTTTCCTTTCTATCTTCCTTTTAGTGAAGGTGATTTCATCTAAGGCTATCATTCAGTTTCTTGCTTTTTATTTTTTTATATTTGCTGTATATTTTTTAGTTTGAGGTTCCCAAGAGGCTTACAAATACTATCTTATAACTCATCATTTTAAGCTGATAACAGCTTGACATTATTTTCATAAACAAGCAAAAGGAAAACTAACATAAAAGACTCTGTGCCTTAACTTTATTTTCCTGCTTGTTATTTTATTGTTTCTATTTGTATCTTCTTGTACTGGCTATGTCTTGAAAATTGTTGTAGTTATTATTTTTTATTCATTCATCATTTACTGTTTCTGCTTAAGAATAGTTTACATACCACAGTTACAGTGTCACAATATTCTGTTTTTCTGTATAATCTCTATTACCAGAGAGTTTTGGATCTTCAAATGATTTCTTATTGATTATTGTCTTTTTCTTTCTGATTGAAGTACTCTCGTTAGTATTTCTTGTTGGACAGTTCTGGTACTGATGAAATCCCTCAATTTTTGTTTGTCTGGGAAAGCCTTAATTTCTCCATGTTTGAAGGACATTGTCACCCGATATATGATTTTAAGTAAGAGGTGTTTTTTGTTGTTTTATTTTTTTCCCTTCAGCACCTTGTATATGTCATGCCACTCTCTCCTGACCTGCAAGGTTTCCACTGAACAGTCTGCTGCCAGGCATACAATACAATTGGAACTCCATTGTGTAGCATTTTTTTTCTTTTGCTGCTTTTAGCATCTTTTCTTTATCCTTGACCTTGGGGAGCTTACTTATTAAATGCCTTGAGGTAGTCTTCTTCGGGTTAAATCTGCTTGGTGTTCTATAACCTTCTTGGATGTGGATATTGATAGCTTTCTCTAGGTTTGGGAAGTTTTATGTTATTATCCTTTTGAATAAACTCTCTACACCCTTTCTTTACCTTCTGTTTATGGCCAATACATCTTAGATTTGCCCTTTTGAGGCCATTTTCTAGATCCTGTAGGTATCCTTCATTGCTTTTGATTCCTTTTGCTTTTATCTCCTCTGACTCTTTGTTTTCATATAGCCCATCTTCAAACTCACCAAGTTTTACTTCTCCTTATCAGTTCTGCTATGAAAAGACTCTCATGCATTCTTCCATATGTCAATTGCATTTTTAAACTCCAGAATTTCTACTTGATTCTTTTTAATTATTTCAATCTCCTTGTTAAATTTATCTGACAGAACTCTGAATTCCTTCTCTGTGTTATCTTGAATTTCTTTGAGTTGCCTCAAAACAGCTGTTTTGAATGCCCTGGCTGAAAGGTCACATATCTGTGTTTTCCAGAATTATTCCCTGGTGCCTTATTTAGTTCATTTGATGAGATCATGATTTCCTGAATGGTGTTGATGCTCATAGATATTCTTCTGTGTCTGGGCACTGAAGAGTTAGGTACTTATTGTAGTCTTCATATTCTGGGCTTGTTTGTACTCATCCTTCTTGGAAAGGCTTTCCAGCTGTTTGAAAGGATTTTTGTGAATAGTGCCGCAATAAACATACGTGTGCATGTGTCTTTATAGCAGCATGATTTATAATCCTTTGGCAAAGACTTGGAACCAACCCAAATGTCCAACAACAATAGACTGGATTAAGAAAATGTGGCACATATACACCATGGAATACTATGCAGCCATAAAAAATGATGAGTTCATGTCCTTTGTAGGGACATGGATGAAACTGGAAACCATCATTCTCAGCAAACTATCGCAAGGACAAAAAACCAAACACCACATGTTCTCACTCATATGTGGGAATTGAACAATGAGAACACATGGACACAGGAAGGGGAACATCGCACTCCAGGGACTGTTGTGGGGTGGGGGGAGGGGAGAGGGATAGCATTAGGAGATACACCTAATGTTAAATGATGAGTTAATGGGTGCAGCACACCAACATGGCACATGTATATATATGTAACGAGCCTGCACATTGTGCACATGTACCCTAAAACTTAAAGTATAATAATAATAAAATTAAAAACAAAAAAAGAAAGGATTTTTGTGTTAAGATCTAAGCTGCATCTGCTTTAGGGGGCGCCCAAGCCCAGTAATTCTGTGGTTCTTACAGGCTCATAAAGGTACTGCCTTGATGACCTTGGATAAGATCCAGAAGAATTCTCTGGATTACCAGCTGGAAACTTTTTCTCTTCCCTTATTTTCTCCCAAACAAACAGCATCTCTCTCCCTCTCTCTCTCTTTCTCTCTCCTCTGCCACCTGGATTGCGGGTGGAGTAACACAAGCACTGCTGTGGCCACCACCCCTGGGACTATGCTAGGTCAGACCCAAAGCCAGCGCTCCCTTAGCCCACCCTCTATCCAGTGTCTCAGTATGTCACATCGGCCCCGACCAGCCCACTGGCTCTGGGCCCAGTTCAGCACTAGGATTTGCTTAGGATTTTTATTCCTTGTGGCCTAGACTGCCTTTCAAGTTTATTCAGAGTCCCAGAGCACTTTAGCTCATGGTGATGAGGCTTGTGGGAAATCAAGTTCCAACCTCTGGAACCGGCAATTCCCATCTGGCTAGCACTGGTTTAAATGGCCCCTTTGTGGGTGGGCATCAGCTGTGTTTGGTCCCGCTTTTCTTTCTGCTGTAACAGGGCAGCACTGAGTTCAGTGCCTCGCAATTGCTAAACTCTCCATCTCTCCAGTGCACAGAATCACTCACTGCACCACGCGGCTACTGCCATGAGGTAGGGGAGGGGTTGCATCAGCAATTCAAAACTGTTTTTCTGATGTCTTCAGTGCCTCCTTCAGTGATATTAAGTTAAAACCAGGTATTGTAAGTGCTTACCTGATTTTTGCTTCTCACGAAGGTGCTTTTTATGTGTATATAGTTGTTAATTGGTGCTCTTGCAGGGAGGATGATTAGTGGAGCCTTCTATTCTGCTATTTTGCTTTGCCCCTCTCACCACAAAGTGCTTTCTAGTAACTTTTATCTGTCTAAAATAACGAGCACTAATATCTTTTGAATTCTTGTAGGAAAGTTAGAGTATAAACATTTTTTGTGTATTAAATCATTTAATCTTCAAAATAAACCAGTGAGTTAGGTTCGCTCTATTTTGCAAATGAAGGGACGAGAGCACAGTGCTCTTAAGAAACTTGACTGAGTTCACTGAGTATGGGAAACCTGCAGTTGATACTTCCACTTAACAGGTATAACTTTGTTTTCTGTACTTGTAATTTCAAAGTTAACTGTATTTTAATATATCAAATATTTGTACCGACTTGAGAATGTCTTTTTCTCACTCCAGCTGGTAAATGCCATTTAACAAATAATCTTGGATACTTCTGTCTTTACTCTAGTGAGTGACGGATGCTTTCTCTAATAATTGGGTTATTTTCACAGGGAACTTGTAGAAAGTTTACAAGCAAAGAAAAACTATAAATCATTATTTTCATACTTTTTATAGTAACATTCAATTATATTAAAATTAAATTACATTAAAAATGCCAAAAACATTTCACACTTATCAAAAAAGGGTTTGAAGTTTTGAAAAATAAAAATTGCCATGCTGTTTCTTTCAATGGATAAGGCATTTTACATTTCTTACCAGCAGTATAGAGGAATATCAGTTGCTCTGCATTCTCATGAACAATTGCCATTGTCAGGTTTTTACATTTTAGTCTGTCTAATAAGTGCATAGTAGTATCATATTGTGGTTTCAATTTGTATTTTCTTAATAACTGATAGATTTGAGTGTCTTTTCTTGTGCTTCTTTGTTTTCTATATCTTCTTCATTAAAGTATTTGTTTAAATTTTGCACTTTTTATATCGGAAAATATTCTTTTATTGTGTTTTAAGAATTCTTTATATATTCCAGGTAAAGTACCATTATCAACTAATTTATTTGTAACTATTTTCTCAGTCTGCATTTTTTTATTTTTATTATCTTAACATTGTCTTTAGAAGAGCAGACATTCTTAATTTTGATAATGTTAGAGTCATCAGCAGATTATTTATAGATTGTATTTTTGGCTTAGTACTTAAGAATTATTTGCAATCCCAAGGTTGAAAAGTTTTACTCCAGTGAATTTTCTTCTGAAAGTTTAATAAATTCAGGTTTTGCATTTAAATCTACTATATATTTGAGATTTTAAAAAATATAATATAAGGCATAAAAACTCTTTCTAAAAAACAGATTATCCAATTTGTCAAGAATAATTTGTTGTTAATATTATCTTTTCTGCATAAATTGCCTTTGTACCTTTGTTAAGAATTAGTTGTCTATATATAGATGTGTGTCTATTATTTATTTCAGAACTCTCTTATCCTTATTTATTTATCTATTTTTATAACAACATCACACTTTCTTACTTGATTAGTTATTTTTATAAAGTTTAGTTTATCTCAATGAAGTCAGTCTGAATTAAACATACCCCTACTGTATGATCTATCCATTCTATTCCTATGAATTTATATGAGAGAAATGAAAATAGATGTCCACACAAATACTTGTATGTGAATATCCACGGGAGTTTTACTTAAAATAGTCCAAAACTGAAATGTCCATTAACATGGCTTGAATATTTTGTCCCCTCCAGAAATTTACATTGAATACTAATCCCCAACGCTACAGTGTTGGGAAATAGGGCCTTTTGGGAGGCATATAGATTATTAGGACTCTGCCATCATGAACGTATTAATGATGTTATAAAAGGCCTTGATAGAGAAAATTTCTCCCTCTTGCTCTTTCATCTTCTACCATTTGAGGACACAGTGTTCCTTTCCGCTGGAATATGAAGTCTTCACGGTTCCATCTTGGAAGCAGAAAGCAGACCTCACCAGATGCTGGCACCATGACCTTGGACTTCTCAGCCTCTAAAACTGCTAGAAATAAATCCTCATTTTTAATGAATTACCCAGTCTGTGGGTATTTTGCTTTAGTAGCACAAAACAAACTGAAAGAGAAATCAGTATCAAAAAAGTGGAATGTTGCTGAAACAAATATCTACAAATGTGGATATGGCTTTGGAGGTGGGTAATGAGAAGAGACTGGACTAGTTTAGAATTAAATGCTTGATAAAGCCTGGATTGCCATTAATGGAGCATTAAGTATGATTCTGGTGAGGCTTGAGAAGAAAAGGCAAATAAAAGAAGCCCCATTCTTACAGATTACTTGTGTGGTTGTGAATGGAATGTTGATAGAGATATGGACAGTAAAGGCCATTCTCATGAGGTCTTAGATGGAAATGAGAAACAAGATATTAGAAACTGGAGAAAACGCCATCCTTGTTTTAAAGTGGCACATAACTTGAGTGAATTGTGTTTATGTCCTAAGACTTTGTGGAAGGCAGAACTTAATAGTGATGAACTAAGATATAGGGGTGGACAAAATCTTTAAGCAGGAAAGCATTAAGGATATACTGTGTTGTTTCGCTTGACTATTGTAAAACACAAGAAGAGGGAAACTATTTAAACATAGGATTTTTAATTAAAATGGAAGTAGAAGGAAAATATTTGGAAAATTCTCAGACCTTCCATGTAAAAAATAAGAAAGCATGCTTAGGATAGAAAACCAACGGTGCGACTAAAGGGTAGTTTGATACGGAGATCAGGATACAAGGAAGCCAGGCATTATTCACTGAGATGATGGAAGAATGACCCCACAAATTTTCCCATATTTTCAGGGATGCCATGTCCATGATAGGCCCTTGAGTGCTAAGGCCTTGGGTGCAGAATGGTTTTTGGAGAGGGGCCCAGGACCCCTTTAGGACATTGAGACTCACTACACAGGACTGTCATTGGTCTCTGTTCCCCACATTTTGATCCAGTGCTATTCAGCTTCTCCAGATACAACTCATGTAGGCTCAGGTGTGTCTTGGGCCTCTGCTCCTGAGGATGCAAGCATTGTGCCTTGGCAGTGTCTACGTGGTGCTAATTATGCTTTCACACAGAGTGCAAGAGCCATGAAATCACGGCTTCCCCTACCTAGACTTCAACTGATGCATCAGTGAGCCTCAGGGTGCAGAAGAAGTTTCACTATGGAGAGCCCCCACCAGGAGGATATTTAGTGGAGCCATGGGGGCAGGACAGCCCAAAATGCCCCAGAACTGTAGAGCCATCCGTGTGCACCAATAGCCTGGAAAAGCTGCAAGCATGTGACTGCTGAAGCATGGCTTACTGCCAGCAAAGCCCTGTGGTGGGGCTGCCTGGGGCCTTGATGGCCCAACCCTTAGCCTTGTGTATCCCAAAGACAGGACATGGAATCAAAGAAGATTGTTCTTCAGCCTTAAGGTTGAATGTTGTTTGCCTTGTTGGGTTTTGGACTTACTTGGGACATGTTACTCCTTTTTTCTTGCCTATTTCTCTCTTTTGGAATGGAATTGCCTATTTTATGACTGTGTCACCATTGTATTTTGAAAGGACATATCTTGATTTTGACTCTTGGTTGGAGGAAAATTTTCTTCAGGATGAATTATACCTTGCGTTTAATGCATATGTGATTTAAATGAGATGGTAAATTTTAGACTTTTGAGTTGATGCTGGAACAAGTTCAGACTTAGGGCTATTGAAGTGGAATAAACATATTTGGTGAGGAGGACACAAATTTTGAGGGCTCAGGAAAGAATGCTATGGTTTGAATGCTTTCATCCCTTCCAAAAATTCATATTGAAACTTAATTCCCAATGCAATGAAGTTGCGAGGCAGGTGAGGTGTTTAGGTCACGAGGACTCTCATCATAAATGAATTAATGCCATTATAAAAGTGCTTGATGGAGCCAGTTCTCCTTTTGCTCTTTTATGCGCCGCTATGTGAGATCACAGTATTCCTCCCCTCGGGAGGACACAGCATTCCAGGTGTTATTTCAGAAGCATAAAGCGGCCATTGCTAGATCCTAGCAACTTGATCTTGGACTACCCAACCTGCAGAACAGTGAGAAATAAATCTTTAAATTGTACATAAGTTACCCAATTGGTGGTAATCTGTTATAACATCACAAAATGGACTAAGGCACCCACTATCAGTTGCATGGATAAACAATATATGGTATATACATATGTGATGGTTTATTTTATTTTAGGTGTTAACTTGACTGAACTGAAGGATGCCAGGATGTCTGGTGAAGCATTGTTTCTCAGTGTATCTGTGAGGGTGTTTCCAGAGAAGATTGACATGTGCCAGTGGACTGAGCATAAGAAGACCCGCCCTTAATGCAGGCAGACTCCATCCAGTTGTCTGGGGGCCTGCCAAAGATAAACAAAGAAGAGGACTCTCTCTGTTCTGGGGCAGGATGCTTTTTCTCTTCCTGCCCTTGAACTCAGACTCCAGATGCATTGGCTTTTACACTCTATGATTTGCACTAGTGGCTTCCCAGGGGCAATAGGTCTTTTGGCTTCAAACTGATGGCTGCATCATCAGCTTCCGCAGTTCTGGGGCTTCCAGACTAAGCCATGCTACCTGCTTCTTTGGTGCTCTAGCTTGTGGATGGCTTGTGGTGGAACTTCTTTACCTCTGTGATCATGTAAGCCAATACTCCCTAATAAATCACCTTCCACATATATTCTATTGGTTATGTCTCCTGGAGAATCCTGACTTAAACACAATTAAATGAAATACTACTCAGGAGTAAAAATGAATTACTGATACAAGCTACAACATAAATGAATCATGAATACTTATGCTGAATAGAAGAAGCTAGAGAAAAAGAATGAATGCATTCCATTTGGCTCTCTTTATGTGAAATTCTAGAAAATATACACTAATATATAGTGACAGGAAGCAAATTGGTGTTTGCCTGGGCATGAAGCGGAGGGATACTAAAGGGCTGGTGAGAAAGGTCACAAAGGACACAGAGGAACTTTTGGGTGTGATGGATACATTCGTTGCTTATATCATGCTGATGGCTCCACTGATGTACAGATGACAATATTAAACACATGTAAAACATACTCAATTTTATACTTTAACGGAGTATATTATTTGTCAATTACATCTCAATACATGTTTTAAAAATGTAGGTGGAGAAACACTATCACATATGTTCCTCCTAATCATTTCTTATACCCACAATGATTTATTCTACCATCATGCAAGCTGAGACCCTGATTTTAGCCTTCAGGTCACAATTTTCTACTTGGCTACCTGTGTACGTGATAATTTACTCTACATCTCCAACTGAATATACCATAACATTTAACTTCTACACATATTAAACTAAACATTTTTAATCAACTTAGTATTTCAATCTACTTCAGACAATGTTAATATCTAGAACCCAGTAACTACAGACAATCTTGAGGGAAAATGTCAAGTTCTTCCTCTTCTATGTATCAAGAATTTCCAGTAACTGGGCTTTTGCATAGAAAGACTTTCAGGATCTGGCCCTTCATCTTCTGCAATTGTGTCTTCTCTCATTAAATTTTTTTAAAAAATCACAATTGACTGTTTTCTTGATGAACTTGCTAAGTTCTTTTGTGTCACACACTTCACTTCATGTTATTCCATCTGCCTGTAAATCTGCCCCTTTCATCATTTGTAAATCTTAATCCAATGCTATATTCCTTATAGAGTTTGTTCCCAGATCTCTCACTGACTTTGGAGTGCCATTTCCTTTGGACTCACTATATTAAATAAATATCATCATTTTATTAAATATATTAGTTTATCATATTTGTTCAAAGTCGGATATTAACTTTACTGGGAACAGGGCATGGAGGATGCATTTTCATTTGTACATGGCTAGTGCTCAGCACAGCACTTGATATGTAATGAATTGCAAGATGTGAAAAAATGAACAAGATAATTGGCCAAGAAGTAACAGTGCTTCTACATGCCCAGAGAAGGCTTGTCTAGCTTAAATTGTTTTTTTCTTTTCTTTAGGTATGAAAAGATAGGGTCTCAAAGCAGGCAGCAGTTTTATTTATGTGGCAGAATGTACCAGTCTGAGGTGTCATACTTAATAAGCACTCTCCGGAAATTATTTGTGTAATAATTTTTTTTAATCTGAAGAATCATTAGTGATGAGGGAGATAAGTCATAATGATACACGGTGGCCTTTCATTTGGTGGGTGGTGTGATCAATAAAGTAGTCCAGTAAGATTTATATCTGGACACAGATTAGAAGAAAATTTTTTACCCCTCAAATCCTATATGCAAGAAAGCACTATTCATACAAATTCTGCTTGCCATTTATGAATGAAATTAACTATGCATAACTAACATTGGAATTAACTTAATGAGAAAGATATATAATAGATCAAATTGTGAATGTCATGGATCACATTAACTTTTAAGATGGTAGTAATACATTAACTGTGCTATTTCCAAATGTTCATTTAATTTATTTGTTTAGTATGTAATTTTTTGTTTATTCAGCGCTCCATGGTATTTCAGAAAAGCTAATGCTTCCTTTTTCCAAGTCACATATTTGGGGTTGGTAAATCAAAAAATTATGAAAGGAATTTTAACCTACCTCCCAAAAATGTGCCTTCTTCTCCTCTTCCTTCTCTCCCTTTTTATTTTTGCTCTTCTTTCTTTTCCTTTTCCCTCTCATTATTATTATCATTATCATCATCATCATCATCATCATCATCATCATCAATCCATTACCCTTAGAAGTCATGGTAGATCATGTCTCTTTTTAAACGTCCATTATTTTGCATTTATTAAAAACTTAAAAGATGATTAAACACTGCTTTAAATCACATTTCACCATTCATTTCATTTCATATTTCAAAACTGTGTTGATCTTAAAATTTAATGATACACTTATAATTTTTTTACCTTTTAGGCCACATAGTATAATTAGATGTGATTTGTAAAAGTATTTAACATATAATTTTCTAACATACATTAAACTACAATTTTAGGGGAGTAAAATGTGGTAACCAGGGACTGGGACAATGGAGCGGTGAGTGTGTTGGGGAGATATTGGTCAAAGAATACAAAATTTCAGTGAGCTGGGAGAAATAAGTTCAAGAGATCCATATCACATCATAGTGACTATAGTTAACAATATTATCTCTTCTGAAAAAATACTAAGAAAGTAATTTTCAATGTCCTCATCACAAAATAACTGTGCAGTAATGAATACATGAATTAATTAGATTTAACCATTTTGCTATATATGTATATATTTCAAACAGCATGTTGCACCCAATAAATGCATACAATTTTACTTGTCACATAAATAAAAAACTGCATATTTAATTAAAATCTGAAACATTTCTAAATAATTTTATTAAGCAATGCACTGCATAGGATTTTAATGACCAAATAGAATGTTACACACATATATGTGCACATACTTAAATATAAATACATCCATATATATATAGAGACACACACATTTCATAGGCAAGGTCTAAGTTATTGTAAAATAATTTATCCTCTAAAATTTCTGGTTGTCTTTAAGTTTCTTGAAGAACTGTATTATGTGAAGCTTCATGCATACACACTGAAGTCACTAGATAGATAGATAATATTCTGTCAGTGACAGATAATATAGTGACAGATAATATCTGTCACTAGACAGATAGACAGACAGATAGATAATGAAACAAAAATATACTTCCTATCAATACAATATGATTTGGAATATGAAAACTTACATTTCTAAACTGACATTTAAGAATAATACAATATTTACAAAAATTTTAATTTTGAGAAAATTTGACTGTTTTCAGGTCAATATACTTCATTGAAAACAAAATATTCTGAAAGGAATAAATTCACAACCAAAAAATGCCTTAGTTCCAGTCAGGCACAGAGAGTGGGTCTCACCAGTTAATCTCCAGTCTAACATATTCCTGCCCCTTGATGTTAGGCATGGCCAAGTATCTCATTTTGAACAACATATTGTGAGCAAATCCTATTCCTTCTCCTACTATGATACCCAGGAACATTCTAGAAGGGGAGACTGATTCAACTGAGTCCCTGAGTGCCATTGTAGGGTACCTTTATTTTTTTTATAACAACCTTCATTGAATATGGAGTGTGATCAATACAAAATATTTTTTGTGTTAAACTGCTTCATTTTCAGTGTTGTTTTTAGTGTTATTCTATCAACAATTATTTAAGCAGGAAGCCAAGGATGGTAATGATGCCTCATATTTTTCCTTGAATACCTTTAAACCACAGTGTAAAGCCACCAGTTTGCTGTAAATTACTTGTGGGATTTGTTTTATGTTTTATTTATTTATTTATTTGTATTTTATTGTGATTGAATATATGTATCATAAAATTTGCAACCTTATCCACTTAAAATGGTCTTCTATAAATTCATAATGTGCAAACATTACTACTACTCATCTCCATAACTCATTTCATCTTGTAAAACTGAAAGTCTATATCTATTAAACAATAAATTCTTATAAACTCTCTCACCCAGCACCTAGCAACCACTCTTCTACTTTCTATAGTTTTGACTACTTTAAGTATATCATGTAAGTGGAATCATACAGTCTTTGTCTTTTTTGTGACTGGCTTATTTCACTTAGCATATTGTCTTCAATACTCATTCATGTTGTAGCATGTGTCAAAATTCCCTTCCTTTCTAGCCTGAATAGTATTTTATGGTATATGTGTACCATATTTTACTTATCCATGTATCTGTCCTTGGGCACTTGGGTTGCTTCCACATTTACCTACTGTAAATAGTGTTGCTAAAAACATGAGTGTACAAGTATCTCTTCAGGATTCTGCTTTTAATTGAGGGGGGTACAAAGCCATAAGTGTAACTACCATACTCTTTTCCACAGAATCTGTTCCATTCTGTGTTCCTACCCACAGTGCACAAGGAATCCAATTTCTCCACATCTTCATCTGCTATATTCTATTTTGTTTTCTTTTTTTTGATAACTGTCATCCTAAAGGGTATTTCACTGTAGCTTTGATTTTCATTTATCTAATGATTAGTGATGTTGAACATCTTTTTGTATACTTATTGGCCATTTTTACATATTCTTTGGAGAAACATCTACTCAAGTCATTTGCCTACTTTTGAATCTGGCTGTTTTTCTGTTGTTGAATTTTAGTAGTTCTCTACATATTCTGTTTATCAATCCCTTATCAGATACATGATTTGCAAATAGTTTCTCCCCTTCTGTGAATTATCTTTTTCCTCTCTTGATAATGCCTTTTGATGGACAAATATTTTTAATTTTCATGAAGTCCAATTTTGTCTACTTTTTTTGTTGCCTATGCCTTTAATGTTACTACTGTTTTGTATTGATGTGACACTCTAGAACGAAAACGAAGCAGGTACTTATTCATACATATGCATCTAGATTACAAACTCAGGTAGGTAAACAGGTACATTGTTTAAATCAAAACATGAATTAATAAAATGCAGAGGAAATATGACCATGAGTTAATCATAAACTATCAGGAAATCACTCTCCTTGACAACTCTCTATTAAGGGTTGGGACTAGGTATGTAGAAAATAAAGTGTGGACTAGGTTTTAGAGATTAAGGAATACTGCAAACACTTTTTAATCTTATTAAATGTTTGCTAACCTAGAAAATTGCAGTGATTAATGGGTTGTCATTTTTCTGGGGATGATGGAGTAATGCAGTCACATATTGGTAGCCTGCAAGCCAAATCCATTTCACATATGAGTTTGGTTTGGCTTGGATGGTTGTAGCTCAAACAATATTTTTAAACAAAGGAACAAACAAAGTATTGTTCTACATTCTAAAAATATACTTATCCACTTTTTCTTCAAAAACTAGAAGGTTTTTCAAAGATAATATTTAGGTGGAGAGCACCTGCATTTATTTCAAAGGGTATAAATGCTTCATTATAAAAGAGTCTCCACATCTTACATTTTTATGCTCATACTCAACTGGCTTTATTTATTTTTCTTATCTTCTGGGCAAGTGCATATTTTCATATTTTATTATGGAGAGTAAACGATTTGAGTGGTAATGAGCAACAATTCATTTTGAAAATTAACAATCAAGGTGTAGTTCAATAATTATCTAATGATAGGGTCACTAAGAACTAATAACTTATTTTGAGCCTATAACTTTCAGTGAAACTGATTTAACAATATAAAGGAGGTGGACAGAGATAAGAAGAATGAGCATTTGGATTAAATGAATGAGAGTCACAAACTAAGAGATTTGTTTCAGAACATAAATCTAGATAATTAAGCCTTTGGTATGATAAATTTTTAATAATTTTACCCAGCAACTATGGGTATTTACGTATATTTTTTGATGACTTTAAGTGTGTTCATCAATTAGGTTCTTAAGTCTTAAAATGTGATAGTGTTAACAATAAAAGAACTGTGGAAATGTAAATAAAAATGTTTCTTGCACTTCAGAAATCGAAATTCCTGTGATCTTGATATATAGAAATGAAAATGTTAATAGCTGTTCTTTGTTAATTGCCTCAGTCAGTCAAATATTGGCTGTGTGCCTGTTCTGTGAAGGACGCTGTGCTACGAACCTAAGTAGATCAGGAGTTTAAAGAGAAAATGCTACATATATGTTACTGGTTTGCCTACATAATGTGGTGTGAGGAGAAAACGAAAAGTAAATATCATGCGTAAATAATATGTTAATTTTTTTAATGTTTTGGAAAACTGGAGGAGGATGAATTGTATCATGAGTGCTGAAATGAGTGGATAGGATGTGAAATAGGTTGTTATTTCATTTTAAATAGGATGAAAATGGTAGATTTTATTAATAGGGTGGAATTTAAGCAAATATTTGAAGTGAGTTAGGCAGATGAATATCTAGAGGAGCATCCCTGATAAAAGGAACAGTCAAAGCAAGAGGAGACAAGAAAGGATTACCCTTGGATTATTAAAACAAAACAAAACAAAACATTAAGGTGGCCCAGGTGACCTTGAAAGGGGTAATCAGTAGAAAAATAGTGGGGGATGAAGTGTGAGAGGTAATGGGAGCCTGACTTGTTAGTCCCTTACAGTGACTTTGGCTGTTTCTTTGCATAAAATGGGAATCACTACAAGGCTTAAAGCAGAATAGTAACATTAACTGGCTTGCATTTTCAAGGTATCACCTTAGAGGCTGTCTGGAGTATAGAATGTACCCTTCTAAGGATAGGAGAAGCAGGCTAGGGTAATAATTTGGAGAAGCATTGCTATTGGCTTGAACCAAGATAATCAGAGTGATGATCAGTGGTTACAGTTTAGGTGTATTTCCACGGTGGTGCCAAGCAGATTTGCTGAGGTATTGATCATGTTTGGAAAAAAAAAGAAGAAAGAAAGAAGGAAAGAAAGAAAGAGAGAGAGAAATAAAAACAATATGACCCCAAATTATTATATTTAAATAAGTACAAGGGGGACACTTTGAGTAAAGGAGGATGAGGTGGGGCATGGGGAATAGTTTCAAGGAAGAAAGACCAGAGTTTGATTTGACATTGATATGTCTATTAGGCCTGTATGTCAACTGGTTAGATGAATTTGCAATTGAAAGCAGCAATCCAGAAAAAAATGAAAATTATTGGCAAAAATATAATTTTTAAAGATAAAATTTGATGAGATTATAAAAGGAAAGATTCTAGACAGGAAATAGATGAGTATCTGGAGCTGTGGAATATGGAATAGTCAACATTAATAGATGAAATATCAGCAAAGTTATTGAGGAGCAAATTTTGAGATAGGCATTGTGCTAGTTTCCAGCGGCTGCGTTAACGAATTATCACATACTTGGTGATATAAAACAACAGAAATTTATTATTTCACAATAGTGGAGATCAGACGTTCAACCGAGTTTTACTGGGACATGATCCCTCCAGAGGCTCTGGGGAGAAGCTTTCCTTGCTTCCTCCAGCTCCTGCCAGGTTTTCTTTGCTTGTGTTCACATCACTCCAATCTCCCCTTCAGTCTCCCATCACATTTTCTCTTTTGTATGTGTCAAATCTCCCTCTGCCTCTCTCCTTTAATGACATTTCTGATTGAATTGAGGACCTACTTCAATAATTAATAGTGATCTTTCCATGACAAGATCCCTGACGTAAACATATCTTTTTTCTTTACAAGTTAATATCCACAGGTCCCAGGGATAAGGAGTTAATATCTTTCAGAGGTCATTATTCTGACTAATACAAGCAAAAAATAAGAGTATGTTCTGTCAATTACAGCTAAATTTAAGCAATAGGTCCAAGGAGTTTTGCTGCAAAGGGGAATGAAGCAATTGGGCATAAGCTGAAGAGTAAACTCGGGTCAGGATTATTACTATTATTTTTTTAAGGTGAAAGAAATGTAGTGGAAGTGGCAAGTAGGGATTGATAGTGATCAAAAAGATGAGAGTATCTGTGTTGGTGTTCTTTGCTAAATGTCAAATAGGTCTTATAACAAGAATGAATTCAAATATTAATAGTTTATTTGAATGATAAAAGAATGAGTGAATGAGAGGAAAGGAAGAAAGGAAGCCAATAAGTGTGTGCTATGAGATGACCACTGTGGGGAATTGGTGATTAGTAATACCGAGACCTCTGAAAGACCACATGAAATACACTCAGGGTTTTATCTCTCAAAGAACAAGAGTTGCAGTAAATTACTCACCAATTCCTTTCTATCATTGAGTGAGGGCACTACTGGGATCATTAACTATGCAGCCCTTCTGACCTGGCCTGTACTTAAGCTCAACTGATCCCTTCAGATGAAGACTTCACGGGGAATCACAGGTTCTGGAAGTAGAAACTCTTTAGTGTATACAAGCAAAACTGAATATCACTGGGTTATAGACAAGGTCCCGACAGGAACTGTTACAGAAAGGGAGAGAGATAGGGTCAAGTGCTCAAAGATCAGTATATTTTATTTGTATCACTTGTTTAACAGCTTTCACATCTCTCTCTTGAATATCTGTGTATCTATGTATATCTCTATGTAGCTATTTCTGTCTATCTGTAGTTTAAATTAAGTAAAAAAGATAAATTAGATAAATTGATACACTTGAAGCCTAGAGGAGAATTATTTTACAGTGCTAGTATCTACCACCTTTTAATTAAATGTCAATGATGGCATTTACCAAGATTGCTCCAAAGCATAACAAACAGTATATGCAGTGAAAGGACTAGTGTGTGACATATTTTAGAAATACAGTAACCAGAACCTTTGCTTCATTATAGCAGCAAAAATTTTTTCAGCATGTGCCACAGATGTATTCAAACCATAGAGACATGGATCTTACCATTTTCAAACTTGCTTTGATTATTTCATATTTTCTGGAAAAGAAATACTTAGTTTATGTCCAAGTTTAATTGAATTGAAACAACGGCCTTATCTCCCATAGATAAATTTAGTTTATAATGAACAGAGGAAGATGGACATACTTTTATTACCATTCCTCTTTGAGATTTATGATGAAATTAAGTTATGTTGTTTTCATCAACAAATTTACTTTAAAAAGTGAAAAATTATCCATGACAAAGAAATGAGGGTATTAGTCCTTCATTTCTATTATACATGTTTAATAAAATATATGTATGTTCTTTTCATTTTTATTATAATTTTTTGTTTTACATATGAAGAATATTTCTTTGAAATTGGTTAATTATTAACAAAAATCAATAGATTGAGGTTATTATAAACCCATTGAAATAAAAATGATTATATCCTTCCAGCTTTTAATTGTATTTGAAATAACAGACTGATTCTATTCACAATACTAAGATAAACAATAATTAAATTTAATTTATAAACTTTATCTTTTGTATTTTTAGATAAGACAATATGTATATTTATAACCTGAGAATCTATTTTTAAGCATTAAGTCGATATCTGTACTGCAAGAAAATATTTCTAACACGCTTTCACTCTGCCCTTTAGAATTTAGTCCAATAATCACCAAAATCACAACTCTGTCCGTTAGATTTCCCTTCTTACTCTGACAGAAAACGTGATTTTTCCCTGAGAACATCTATTTCCCTGCAAATGTCTTAGGCATTGTTTTCTAAGGCTTTGGTAATCCATTGCCATAAACCAGGTGGATTAAAACAACAGAAATTTATTCTCAAAGACTGGAGATGAGAAACCCACAATCAAGGTGTCACAGGTACTTCTCTCTGAAAGCTCTATGGAAGAATTCTTCCTTGTCTCTTCCAGCTTCCGGTAGTTGGCAGTAATTGTGTCATTCCTTGGATTCTCTCCATCACACCACTCTCTGCCCCTGTCATCTCATGGCCTTCTCTCTGTGTGTCTATATGTCTGCGTCTCTTCTATTATAAAGTATCTTTGATTATATTTGATCAAGGCCCATCCTAATGACCTTGTCTTAATATGATTACATCTCCAAAGACCCTATTTCCAAATAAGTTCACCTTCACAGCTACTTGGGGTTCAGTTTCACATATGATTTAGAGGGACACAACTCAACCACAACTGGCACTGACTGTTTTTATAAGTTTAATTTAATGAAGACTCATGTAGGACAGTATGTGAGTTTTCCACCACAGCTCTAGTAACACTGGATGGAAAAACGCTCTCTTTCTGAGAGTTACCTCCAGAACCTTTTTTCTCCAACTGGCCTAAAACCATCAGGCCTTGACTCTTATGTGCTCTCATTATGGCAGCCAATAGATTCTCATTTTTTAAATGAATTTTGAAACTAACTCCAATATCTCCAAATCTAACTTGATCTCGAATCTTGGTCAATTTTCTATAGATGTAGGAGGTCCTTCCAATAGTCTGCACTCTCAGCTCTTGGAATTTGTCTTCCTCTATAAGTTTGTCCTTCATCCTATTGTGACCAATTATTTCCTTGGTCATAACCAAACCGTTTGTCTTTATCAATGGCAGCACATTGTCTATAATTACAAAAGCATACATTCTGCTTGCTGTCCATTGGCCTTTGTACTTTGAGTGTATTCTCTCCAGCTTCCTCACACCAAAATCTTTTGACTAATGAATATTTAAGCTTCATTAATTATATTGGCTTTGCCCTATTCCTATCTCTAGCCTCATATACTTTGTTTCACCTTTAAAAAAACACTTTGTTTTAACATTTTTGTTTTTAAAGGTGAAATTCCACAGTCAGACCTTTTTATCAATTGCTTTCATGTATCCTCAACTCCATTTCTCTGTTTATTTTTATTACATACAAACTTTTGATTACATACAAATTTCTCCGTAATAAACATCCAAAACTCTGCAACAGAACCTGGCTGAAAAGTTATTCTAGCTATGCTCATTGTTCACTGTAATTTATAACTACAAAAGTGAAAGTTTATCCTGAATGCAATCTGGCATCTTCCTTTCAGCTGCCCAAAAATCTTACTTTGTTTCGTCATTATTCACTCCACATCTCTCTTGGGTACTTAGTTCATAACTTCTACATTCTTCTCAGCCTCTAACTTTACACCCCACTCCATCTTATTTAACTGATGTAGCCTTCTATTTCACTAGGAAAATCGTAGCACTCAGAAGATGACTTGGTCAAAATCTCACTATCACATTTGTCCAAGCACTTGCATGCACAAATATATAACGTGGATTCTTATCAAAATAAGAAAACACATGTTTGCAGTACTTTGAGATTTGACCGTATATTTGTTCTAGATTGGCAAGTTCTATCTCACATTTTGTCTGGCTTTAGAACTAAAATAATTTTGAGAGAAGACTGACAAACCATGTGTGTGTTTGTGTGTGTGATTTCTCTGAGGGGGTGTTCTAGTTTCTAGCAAGTTGAAATATTTAACCTGCAAAGATGTCATAGGAGGGAATAGAATTGTTTGTATGTTTTATTGTATAAAAACTACACTATTCAAAGAAAATTAATCAAAGGTTTTTTGGCTGTGAAAGCATCAATATTTGAAATTTGTAATAGAATTTATAACTAAAAATATTTTGTTTCATTCAATTCTCTCTTCTTTCTGCATGCTTGTGTTTGCTTACTAATGTTTGTAAATTTCAGTTCACTCATTCAGAGTGCTTTCTAGTTTAATAAGAACTACAGTTTAAAGTATTAGGTAGTAGATAACCAATAGATAAAAATGGAAGGAAACATAATATATTTTATTATGGAACAAAATAGTCTTTTATAAATATTACATTAACACATAATATATAAACATTAAAAAATATACCTTACTAGACCAAAAATTCTATAAGAGAGAAATCATATATTTATCTTTCTAAACTTCAACAACCTATCAAAATATATGGATGCATTGCTATTCAATGAACGGCTTTTTCAATGTATTAGTCATGAAAGAAAGCAAACACAGTCATTGTTTATTTAAAATTTAAACTCAACTGTAAATTATTTTCATACGATTTCTCATATATTCTTGATACTGTGAGATTTTTGTGATAATGCTATTGTTTTTCATCAGCATATCCTTGTAGATAGTTTATTATTGGTTTTTCAGATCAAACATGTAGTTAATGGAAATGATGGAAAGTACAGCTGTCTTCTCTGTTAGGCCCTTGGAAACATGTTATCCAGAACTAACTCTTAGCATGAAATTGCTGTATTCTAGCATTACACATGATGAATGAGTAGTGTAATTCCCACGTGCATTGTCACATTACAGAAGCCTATAAATCCAAAATTTTATTGTTAATGGCAATGAGCTCCGTGTGTAATAGCTGACACATTAGCACAGAAATGCTTCTTTTTTGTCACAAATGTATTGTTGAAGCTGTTTAATACTTGTTTGCTTACCCATAATGATGCAAAAATGCATCTATAATTACTGTCATGGGGCTGAGCCTATACCATCTGGTGTGGAATAAAAATGTTTATATCCAAGCTTCCTAGAGCAGAATATATATTCTGAACCTTTATTGTAAAGACATTCATTTTATCTAATAACTTCTTCACTATATGAGCACAGACTAATGAGCATAAACACAGTTGAGGCTATAAAAATTCCAGAATATACAATGTTTGGTAAAATAGTGTTGACTCTCTCACCCAGAAAATAGTAAACATACCTATGTATCTATAGGTTGTCTTCAAAATATTTATTGACTGTACTGAATGTCCAAAATATATTTACACCATTGTGAATATCAGAATGCCCTAAAGTTAAATAACAGTTGATTTAGATAATATTTATTAACCCAAGTGCTGTTTTTGGTTCATGTTTATGAGTTTCAATAATTACATTATCCCCTCATCTTCATAAAAAATTTTCAAAGTCCTACGTCCTGCAGAACTTTATATTAGGGTTAAGAAGGAGTCATATTTTAAAAAGAAAGCAGAATAGAATGGGACATCTTATATGGTTTGGCTGTGTTCCCACTCAAATCTCATCTTGAACTGTAGCTCCCATAATTCCCAAGTGTTGTGGGCGGGACTCAGCGGGAGGTAATTGAATCATGGGGCCATATCTTTCCCATGCTGCTCTTGTAAAGTGAATAAGTCTCATGATCTAATAGTTTTATAAAGGGGAATTCCTCTACAAAAGCTCTCTTGCCTACTGCCATGTAAGACTTGACTTTGCTCCTCATTCTCCTTCAGCCATGATTGTGAGGTCTCCCCAGCCAAATGGAACTGTGAGTCGATTAAACCTCTTTCCTTTATAAATTACTCAGTCTTGGGTATGTCTTTATTAACAGTGTGAGAAAAGAATAATACAACATTCTAAATTTTAACAAGGCAAATCATAAAATTATCTTATCCAGATAACTATCTGACACAAAAGAGACGTAAACAAATACAAAATCTGCTTATTTTCTTGAATATAAAGTCTGAAGAAATAGTAATTCTCCCTTAAGTAATCTGTAATTGAGTATTACCTGTTTAAAATGCTGAGAGTTGTTTTGTTCTGGATCTAAATAACTTTGTTATAAAACTTATTTGGAAGAACATACACAAAAGAGTGAACAGAAACATACTGCAAAAACAGAGTGAGAAGCCGGGTAAGTGCTGTCAGATATTAAAACATATTTTAAAACCTATATAATTACAGAGGTATGGCATTGGAAATGAATAGACATAATCAGTGTAATAGAATACAACATTCAGAAAATTTCCCAATTTTGTGTATCTCATCACCATAAAGTTTAAACTTCAAATCAGTGAGGTATTGATGGACACATACAGACAAAATGTTACCAATTAAACCCATTTCTATGCAGGGCCAAATTTCAGATGGATCAGAATTAAATGTAAAAAAAAAGAAGGCAACCATAAAAAACCTGGGATAAATTGCAAATTTATTTCCTCTATAATGTGCAATAAGTAGCAATTTTATATCGCTGAATATTAAAGAACCTCAAATTGTAATAATAAAATAATAATCATGCTTTGCTCTTGCTTCTGCTGGGCAGTTTTTCATATCTGGGCTGGGCTTAGCTGCTCTCAATGTGGCTTGATCAAGTATCTTCAGACAGTTGGTGGGTCTGTTAGGGACAGGCTGGTTCCGGATGGACTCAACCCTGTATCTGGAGGCTGACTCAGTGTCAGCAAGGGTAATAGTCTCTCACCAACAAGCCAGCTAACCCAGGTTTGTTTGGGTTCCTAGAGCAAGATGATCATAACCTCCAGGGTATGAGGATTGTTTTGCTCTTGCTTCTATTGCTCACCTTCACTAACGCCTCACTGACAATTATTGCAAGTCACTTTGTTGTTTCAGATTGAAGGAATGAGAAACAGATTCATCTTTGTATGAAAGGAGTGAAAATTCCTGATCATTTTTATAATTTACCAAACCTGAAAATGAAGTATAATCCTCAAAACTATGTATTAAAACTCTGGAGCACTAAGGGTAATTATAAATAAATTTGATAAATTAAAGTTTTTAAATTATGAAAAAGGAATATGCAGAGTAAAGAGAAAACAAACTGGGGAAAGACACAATTGTAAAATACATCACAGACAAACAGTTATAGTCCTACCTAGAAATGCTTCTAAAAATAAACACAGAAAACCATCAACCCAGAGGGGAGCTGAGGGGGAACAAGAGCTATAGAAATAAAGAGACAGAGGGCGTGGTGGTTCATGCCTGTAATCCCAGCACTTTGGGAGGACAAGGCAGGAGGATCACTTGAGGTCAGGAGTTCGAGACCAGCCTGGCCAATATGGTGAAACTGTGTCTCTAGCAAAAATACAAAAATTACCCAGGCGTGGTAGCGCGTGACCTGAAGTCCCAGCTACTCAGGAGGCTGAGGGAGGATAATTGCTTGAACCCGCGAGGTGGAGGTTGCAGTGAGCCCGAGATCCTGCCACTGCACTCCAGCCTGGGAGACAGAGCAAGACTCTAAAAAAGAAGAAAAGAAAAGAAAAGAAGAAAGAAAAGAAAGGGAGAGAGAAAGAGAGAGAGGAAGGAAGGAAGGAAGGGAAGGAGGGAGGTAGGGAGGGAAAGGAAAGAAAGAAAGAAAGAAAGAAAGAGAGAGAGAGAGAAAGAAAGAAAGAAAGAAAGAAAGAAAGAAAGAAAGAAAGAAAGAAAGAAAGAAGGAAGGAAGGAAGGAAGGGAAGGAAGGAAGGAAAGAGAAAGGAGACAATTCACAGAAAAAGAAATGCGATGTGAGTCATTCTTCACCGAAATCTAAAGTGTTTCACATTTTACAGTAAGAAAAATAAATATTAAAAAATATTGTGATACCAAATTTTACATACTGGATTGGCAAAGACAGAAGTTTGAACTCGTCCTCTACTGGTGAGGTTGTGAGAAAATAGCTCTTTCTTGAAATATTATAAATATCTAATGAAGGGAATGTGTTAACATTTACCAATCTTACATATCCTTTACCATTTGTTGCAACAATCTTACCTCAAGGGATTATCTAAATATAAAATCTAAATATATAGAAAGGCAGATGCACAAATCTCTTCATTACAGGACTATTTTTCATAGAAAATAATGGAACCAACTTAAATGTTTATCTCAAAGAGAGTTGGTTGAACAAACCTATACACAACAATATGTTCTGCAGCCGTGGGTCAAATAAGCAATATTTTTATATTCTTCTATGGAGTGATTATAAGAATCTGAGTTTTGTAAAGATAAATGAACTATATTTAATATACTAATGGCAGTCATGCAATTGAATATTGAACACTAATAACTTGAAATGTATTAAGAAATATCAATTAATTATTACTAAATATTTTAGGGGTGATAATGATATTCTGGTTATTTTTTAATAGTCCTTAAATTTAGAGATAATTATTGCATTATCCATAGTTTAAAACATATATCTAGGATTTACTTTAACATAAAATAATGAAAGAATGTGAGCAAAGATACTGATGATTGGCCATGATTAATGATTTTTGAACGGGGGAGTCTATAAATGGTGCCACATTACACTATTCTGAACCAAAGAGTAAAAGAGACTGAAATCCAAATAAAGGGGTTTATTGTTGGTCTTACAATGGCAACTGAGAAACACAGATTCCAGAGGTATCTGAAATTGTGTCCTGACCAGCTATTTTTGAGTCTGACTTTTAAAGGAATTAGGAAGTTAGTACTCAATAGCTCACTCAAAACCTACTATTTTGATTGGTGGTAAAGTGTTATCAAAACAGTTCATTGGCTTCTAGAAAAAAATTCCTTGAATCTGAGGTTTAGAATAATTCAGTTCTCAGCACAGTCTTTTTTATCAGTGTCAGCAATTTTCGTCTGCAGCATCAAGTACATTCTGAGGTCAGGCAGTTGTAAAATGGCAAACAGAAACAAAACAGCATTGCTCTGAACATGTCCAGTTGCCTTCCTTCCAAACTATTCTCTATAATTTTGTAGATATGCACATTTTTTACATAATGTAATATTAAAACAGATAAAGAAAAAGTAGGAAATCATATTTACTTTCAAATACCACGGGGATGCAAATATTATGAGTATAACTTTATACCAAACTTAACCAACCAGTATTTAAAATGAAAGCCCTGAGATAGATTTACTGGAATTCTAAAATTAGGAATTTTCTTTGTATCTTAAAACAGGAAGAAGTCTTGGAAAGGATGCTTGGAAGACAAGAAAATATGTTTTCTGAACTCTTGATTATTCATGGAACCTACAAGATTTTTCCCCTGTACCTTAAGCATTTGAAAAATGTGTGTAATGTTTTAAAATATAGCTGTCAACAGAATCATTTGCCGTAATTTAAAATTTTAAGTTACACATTTTAAAACAGAACTAGACAGAATTGATCATTATATTACAGAGTTAAAACACATGTTTTGAAAACTCTAATAGTATCTGGACTAATTAAACATTTATTTTTTAAGTCTATTTAAAAAGCATAGTTACATAAGAGCACTCAATACCATAGAAATAAAAAAAAATTAGTAGGCCCAAGATGAAGGAGTGATGAAGAGACTAGTGTATTGCTCAAAGGAATTAAGAGAATGAGGGCTTCAAGGAAAAATTAGAGCCCTTACTATCATGCCAAAACCTGACAAAGGCTGTTAGAGAGATAGAGACCACGAATCAGCACCAGTACCAGCTATAAATATATATGTAAATACATATATAAATATATGTGTAAGTAACATGAAATTACATGAATACTGTGTATTTTAAGAATCATTAAATATTAGAGCTATTTAAACACAATTTATGATACTAGTGGATCTAAAGATTGAAAACGTAGTTTTTTGCAATTGTTGGGCAAAACAGAATAATTCTTAATTAAAATATAAAGCCCTTAAATAGACTAGTATTAGTAAATATTTCCTTGTATCATGTATGTATGTGCTTGTGTATATTTACATGCATATGTGTGTCTGTACATATATAGACATATGCACAAAAGAAATTACAATTACACACATATGGTCATTGCAGCAGTATTCACAATAGCAAAGACATGGAATCAAACTAAATGCCAATCAGTAATAGACTGCATAAAGAAAATGTGGTACATATATAATACAGAATACTATGCAACCATAAAAAAGAACTAGATCATGTCCTTTGCAGGAATGTGGATGGAGCTGTGGGCCATTATCCTTAGCAAACTAACACAGAAGCAGAAAACCAAACACTACATATTTGTACTTACAAGTGTGAGCTAAGCAATGAGAACACATGAACACAAAGAAGGGAACATCACACATTGAGGCCTGCTGGAGGGTGGCGGTTAGGAGGAGGAAGAGGATCACGAAAAATAACTAATGGGTACTAGGCCTAATACCTGGGTGACAAAATAATCTGTACAACAAATTCCCGTGAGTTTACCTGTATAACAAACCTGCACATGTACCCCTGAACTTAAAAGTTAAAATTAATTAATTCATTCATTTCACTTCATATAAATGTGTATATATTTACCTGCACAATACATACAAACACATACATACATTTTTCACATATATAATTGTAAAGATGTGTGGTGTGCCCATTTTTGTATGTGTACACAGTTCTTAAGCCAGCATCGTAATTAGTAAATACGCATTATTTATTAGTAGCAGTTCCACTAATATTAGGAAGAAATAACATTTTCTATGATGGACTATAGACTTTAAGCTAATGAAAGAATGTGATATGTAGAAATAGGTACAAATGTTTTAATATCAACATATGTAAACATTTATGAATACTCAAATTAAAAATATTATTTTTGTCCAAAAATTAATTAAAAACTTTTACTATAAATAAACGCATTCCATTAGTGGTACATAAAATTATTGTACATACATCAGTAACCCGCTATACAAAAGTTTGAAAATGTAACGGAAGAAAATATCATTTGTCTAATCATAATAAAAAACAAAAAGTCTAGAAATAAATGTAATAAAAAAAGTTCTAGATTTAAACAAAAATCAACTTTATAACACTTATGAATAACAAAAATTACATTTGAACAAATGCAAAATTGCCCATAATTTCCAATAAAAAGGATAAACATGACAAACATGCCATTTATCTATTTATTAATTATTATATTCAAATGCAATTCAATACATTTATCATTTTTTCTAAAAATATACAATTTCTAACTTTATAAGAAAAGAATCACAAACATATTTTCAAAATCTCTCTGAAAGAGTAAAGCAAGGGGAAAGGCTGTCTTCGCCTAATTTATATTGTATGGCTCTATCAAATACATGGACAAACAGAATATTGGAACAGAATATAAATTCCAGACTCAAAAAAAACAGACTCAAGTACTTATGGCAATTTTATATATAAGGAAGTTAGAATCTCAAATCAGTGGTAATACAGATGAACATTTAAATCAATGGTTATGGGAAAACAAAGAAAAAACAAAATAAAAATTTCTGAAAACTGTATATTTTTATATTAATTTAAAGTTGAGCAAGTATTTCTAATCACTGCTAAAAACAGGAACTATGGCCAGGCGCGGTGGCCCACGCCTGTAGTCCCAGCAGGTTGGGAGGCAGAGGTGGTCAGATCACCTTAAGTCAGGAGTTTGAGACCAGCCTGGCCAACATGGTGAAATCCTGTCTCTACTAAAAATACAAAAAATTAGCCAGGTGTGGTGGCACACACCTGTAATCCTAGCTACTCAGGAGGCTGAGGCAGGAGAATCTCTTGAAATCAGGAGGCAGAGGTTGCAGTGAGCCAAGATGGTGCCACTGCACTCCGGCCTGGGCGACACAGTGGCGACTCTGTCTCAAAAAACAAACAAACAAACAAAAAACACAGGAACAACAAAATTTTTGATACATTTGACTAATAAAAGTTACACATTTTTTAAAAAAATAAATGAAATCACAAACAATAAATAGCAAACTAAAAAACAAAAATTGAAACCCATGCCACTAAGGATTGATTTTTGTAATGTAAATGGCTCTTAGACATCAATAACAGAACAAATAGCTCATTAATAAAATGTATACAAGAGGAATAAACTGACAGTTATTAAAATATATGAATCATAGGAAAACATATGAAAAGGTCCTCAACCTCACTCATAATAAAATACATGAAAATTAAAGCTACAAAGAGAAATTATTTCTCCTCCATCTGATTAGCACTATCCAAAAGTTGACAGGTTTACAGCACATTCTATTCATGAAGTTGTGGAGAAACAGGCACTCTCAAACATGGCTTTTGAGAATGGAAAATGATATAACTCTCAATGAGGTGAATTTGCCAACTTCTATTATAACTAACCTTTTGATTCTGTAGTTTTTCCTCTAAAAATTATTCTATGATTACACCCATATACACACACAATTATATTTGTACATCATTATTTATTGCTATATTCTTTGAAGTAACAAAATAACATGTAAAATATTAAAGTGCTTCTCTTTAAGGGTATTTTAAAATATACTACGCTATAACCACTTATTAGAATTAGAATATTCAAGTAATCCTGCACTTTGGGAGGCCAAGGCTGGTGGATCACTTGAGGCCAGGAGTTGGAGACCAGCCTGGCCAACATGGAGAAATGCCATCTCTACTAAAAACACAAAAATTAGCTGCGGGTGGTGGAAGGTGCCTGCAATCTCAGCTACTCAGGAGGCTGATGCAGGAAAATTGCTTGAACCCGGGAGGCTGAGGTTGCAGTGAGCCAAGACCGTTCCACTGCACTCCAGCCTGGGCCACAGAGCAAGACTCGATCTCAAAAAAAAAAAAGAAAAAAAGAAAAAAAGAAAAAAAAAAAGAATGCTTAATAGCTACACACCCAAAAATGAAGATCACTACAGTTGTATAAAAATTATCAAGATACATTGATAAAGGGCATACAGATGGTTGAGAACAGCATATGTTATACACTACAAAGAGGGGAGGAAATAAAAAATATGTTTTATTTGCATAAAGAAATATTGGAAAAAAATTTCCGAAACTTACTTTTTTTTTTCTCCAGGGTCAGGGAAGTAGATATGGGATAGACAGAAATGTGTATAAGACGGTTTTCAGTTTATACTATTTTATATTGTTTTATTTTGAACCTTTTAAATGTTTTAACACTATGTTACCTTTTCTAAAAAACAACTTTTTCAAAGGCTCCATTCCATATTTTGAATTACATGATTAAGGGCATATGCTTTAAAACAGCCCCTAAGGATACAAATGATTATTGAACATTGAGAAAATCTAACTGTGGATATAGTTACTTACTATTTTGCCACTATAGTGATAGAAATTACTCCGTTGCCAATTGTAAATAGTTCCATTCTGAACACAGCCATATTCTCCAGAGGTTATTTCCAGTGTCGCATTGCAACCGGCCATCATATGTCTCAGCACTTTTCTTAGGCCATCAGTAATTGGTGTATCACAACCAGAGATGACTTCCAATTTGCTCTCGTGGACAATTATGCATGGGAATTTTTATAATCACTTTATCATTGGGAAGCATATTTCATATAACACTATGAAAGTAACAGTGCTGGCCAGGCACAGTGGCTCACACCTGTAATCCTAGCACTTTGGGAGGCTGAAGTGGGCTAATCACCTGAGGTCAGGAGTTTTAGACCAGCCTGACCAACATGGAGAAACCCCGTCTCTACTAAAAATACAAAATTATCTGGGAGTGGTGGTGCACATCTGTAATCCCAGCTACTCAAGAGGCTGAGGCAGGAGAATCTCTTGAACCCGGGAGGCAGAGGTTGCGGTGAGTCGAGATGGCACCATTGCACTCCAGACTGGGCAACAAGAGCGAAACTCCGTCTCAAAAAAAAAAAAAGAAAAAAAAAGAAAGAAAGAAGAAAAAGAAAGAAAGGAAGGAAGAGCAGAGAAGAGAAGAGAAGAGAGAAAGAAAAAAAATGATAGTGCTGCTAGAGTTCCCTGGCAAATAAATGCCAAAGATGACAATGTCTAGTGATGCAAATTGATAGGATGTTTGTTTTTACTTCATTTTGGTAAATTCTGAATGTGATGCATTCTTGTGTCAACTAGAACGTCATCTTTGAAGTTAGTTCAGTTCTTTTTTTTAGTCAGAATATTTTCTACATTTGTATATTAGTGCATTTTCCCTTTTGCATGATTAGGTTAGCTAGAATTTAATTTTATTTTTCATATAATCTGGAATTTTGGTTCTCAACTAATTATGTATTTTTTTCTCTTTTGTAACTCTTAATTTCTGCATTTATATTTATCATTTTGTCATTCTTTTTTCTTTCTATAAATGTGTGCTCTCTTTTCAATAATCTGAGTTGCACACCTCGTCTGTATGATTTCATAATTTATTTTTATTGAAAGAACCATACAAGGTACAGAATTTTCTGTGAGTATTGCTGTGCATTCAACCCAAGTGTCCTGTAACTAGTATTTCAATTATCATTCTTTCTAAAACCTCCTTTGACATAACAGCTATTGAAAAAGAAAGATTTGTGTTAAATTTCAGATAGAAGCTTGTATTTGATTTCTGATTCATTATTGATTTCTAATTCTATTATAATTAGTTAAGAAGATATTGCTGTATTATAATTATTATATAACAATTATTTTTTTTGTTTCTGGTAATTATTGTGTATACATGGACATACACATATTACATATGCACACACAGCATATCATCAATCTACCTTATTGGTTATATTTCTTAAATTTTCAGTTTTTCTTCTTTTCAGTTTTTTTGTTATTGTTCTTGTTGACCACTTAATTCCTTAATTAATGGATTCAATTAATCCATTCTAATAGGAATTAAATGTTGCCTTTATATTTGTTTCATAGTTAGGTATAATTTTTTAAATTGTGAATTGTAACATTTAGCAGAATAAAGTTCAGTCTTTACCTTATGAAATATTTTTGGCATTAATTCTACCTAATATGATATTCAGTTAACCAATCAACTTTGCTTTCTTTATCTTTAAATTCAAATGCCTACAAATACTTATTCTTTTATTTTTAACTTTCATAGAGTGCAAAGTTATCTGTTTTCAATTTAGTGGTTAGAATTATATATTTGTTCTGAAAAACAATCTTTTAAATTCACATTTTCATTTTAATTGCTTTAAGTTGTGCAAAACTGTTACTTGGGATTTTTAAGAATTTCTTTTTTGTCTACAGTTATTTTCACCTTGATTTTTAAATTTTGCCTATTTATGTTCTATTTGTCTTTCATGGCATTAACCAGGGTTCATCACTCCTGCCAATTGTTTCAAATAGTCTGTTTGTGATTTTATTCATTATTACTTTGGGTATTCTCTTTTTTAATTCATAGGGAATATTTCTCTTGATTCTTCCTATAATAGCAACCATACTCATGTTTCCCAAGACTACCATTTGCTATGGGAAAAGGATGCTGCTTGCAGTGTGCATGACTATCACATAGGAGGCTGTCCACAGGAAACCTATCAGATAACTGGTGGTTGCAAGGTTTGTCTCTGGCTAACTGGAGCTCATTGATAGAAAACAGCCACACTGTGTATCAACTCCCTGCAGTTTTCTGTCCTTCTCATATCTTTTCTCTTGTTTACCCGATTCCTCAAATGAGTCCTTTTCTTTCTCCAAGCAAAGTCATATCTAGTATCAAGGAAAAAACATATTTATTGCAATTGTGTAAATATTTCTCTCTCAAAAGTTCAGTTCCCTGTCTTTTCTTTGAATCTTAGATATGGCATCTCATTATGTGTTAGGAGAAGAAAATACACAAGGCTAGGAGTTGTAGTGATAGAATAGAGAGCCACAGGAAAACAGAGGAGAAAATCACAGATCAATTCTTCAAGATACAGTTGTCACTGTACTTAAATTTGAAGCTAGTTATTGTTTATATGATGTATTCATATCACCTTTAAAAAGACATAGTTCTATATAGGCCAGAGCTATTATTAGTGTCATCATTGATGTCATGGGGTCTACCTAATAAGTAACATCATGATGCCAATGTTCCCAGGGTGTCTAGACAGGCATTTATCAGTTCCCTCTCATGCAATTTCGCACTGATTTTTCTGCTTTGGCTGTGAGGGCTTTGGGTCACTCTAATAGAATGTGCACTCTGTAGCTCAATAGCCACTAGTGTAAACAAGTAATTTCGAAAAGATCCACGCTGATTAACGATTAGGTTTGCAAAGTGGGGAAAACTGTTATGTACGCAGGGGGTAAAAGAATCATATGGTTCACAGTAAGTAATTTTGTATGTGATTATCTTGCCTTTGAGTCACTGCAGAGTATGATTAGTATAGATTTTTTAACCAAAACAAAATATAAAATAATTAAGAAACAAAGTGTTGTAAAATAACTACTGATTTGCTATAATTTATTCTCTTATATGCCACTTTTAATCTTATTTCCAGAAACAGTGAATGAGCATCTAACATGTATGAAGCGACACGCTAGAACAAAAAAAGCTTGGCACATAGTGGATTTGGTGTTAATGGCTACCAAACCCACCTGCATTTTAACACATGCAGGTTCTAATTTAAAATAAATACATATCCAATAAAAATTGATAATTACACATTTATATAGAGGTCCAAATGTTTTCTATACACACAGACACACTCATGGAGACATAACTTGATATATTTCCCAACTATTTTTTGTCTGTGAGTTCATGAACATGTGTACACCCTCATATTTGCATTATAATGATTTTAGAGTTCTATGGCTTTTATTTCCACCCCATTGTTCTCAGACTCATACCGTTATTCAAAGAGTATTATCTTGTAGTATAACACTCCAACCACCACCTGACGACATAATTGCATCTTTTATACGTCTTCCGGCAATCACTTATGACCGGTGTCAGTACATTGCCTCACTTCCTTTGTTGTAAATGATTTGAAGTATTTTCCTGTAGAGCAAAATAACTGACAATAAGGCATTTGAATATTGGTTTTAAGTGAAAAAGTCTTCCAGGAGGAAAGCATTTTAAAAAAAAAAACAAAAAAAACAAAAAAAAGGAAAACTCACACTCCTCCGTGATGAAAGACCCCAAACTCATCAACTTGCCAAGAGATGACAGAATGTTTATCAGAGGATGGTGTTATGCTCAGGGTCAGCATTAGCCTTTGCATTTGGATAGTCAGGAATGTCACTGGTGATAACTAGATAAGCTTTTGTAAAAGGTAATCCCTGTGGTTAATCTTGTGAATAAGATCCATCACTATCAACATGGTCATTTTATTTATGAGCCAGTTGACTAAGCCCAGTATCAGGTAGAAAAAAAAAAAAAAAAAGCTGACTGACGTTCAAATAATGGAGTCTTTTTCAACTAGTTATTAAAAGCATTTTCTGAAGATGTGTGTGTGTGTGTGTGCGTACGTTCACACAGGCAAAAATATTCTGAAAATATATGACCATTCACACAGTTTCTTCCACAGACTGCGTTTTTCAGACTTTCTGTTATTAAATTTTATAATGTTTTTGCTTCCAAGTCTTTGACCTGTGGAAGTAAAAATGTTACTGGACAAAGTTAAACATTTAAGGAAAACTATTTAAGGCTATTGCAATGAAAGAGAAAAACAAAAAAAGCAACCTGAACTGAAGACATAAATAATGAGAGAATTTTTAAAAGCTGGTATGAGGGGATTATATGTCATTCATATTTGGTAATTGGTCTTACCCAAAAGTAAAGTAAACTTTCTTTTATCTTCATGACAGGAGATAGTTTTACAACTTGGAACAAGGGGCCCTCTGAAGTTAGGTCCCTACCTTCCTTCAGAGACTAGCATAGGAACACTATCTTTTTAATGGTTACATTTCAAAGGGATGGCTTTGAGATCCTTGAGAAAGAAAGTACTGGGTTGTAAACTGTCAAAAGGCTTTTTGAAAAACAAAACAAAACAAAAAACCTTATATTTCAAAAGGACAGAAAAAAATTGCAATTACAAGTTTTCTAAACTAAATACTTTGAAAAAAATGAGGTGAGAGATCTCTCTGGTTAGGTCATCTAGATTTTGTAAGGGCTGTAAAGGCAAAAAGACACCTCTCTGCAATTTGTCAAGCTGAGGGAAGTGGTCAGACCATCTTGGTCAGATCACTTTTGCCTGTTAATGAGGGTGAGGCAGGAGAATAGGGTCTGGAGGCAGGGAACATAAGGCCAATTTACAATGACTTCCTAGAACTAAATCAAATGGAAACACTTCAGCAATGACAGGAATGTGAATGGCTTTGCAACTTCACTTTCTCCTCTCCTTTTATATAGACAATACACACTCAGTAACATCCTCTCCATTTACTTAGGGGGCATACTGAGTAAATGACTTTGTAACTTGACTTTATCCTCTTCATTTACAAAGGGCATACACCAAGTAGCCAATGGGAAGCCTCTAGAAGTTATTGAAACTCTAGAAAATTCTGTAACCAGGGATCTTGAGCCCCTATGCTCGGGCCTGCTTCCACCCTGTGGAGAGTACTTTCATTTTCAATAAATCTCTGCTTTTGTTTCTTCATTCTTTTCTTGCTTTGTTTGTGCATTTTGTCCAATTCTTTGCTCAATACGCCAAGAACCTGGAGACCCTCAACCATAACAAGGGTAGATTTCTATCTATGGCAATCTCTCTTTTTATTCAAAGTGGACAACCCCATGAATGACTAGAATTTCTGGCAGATAGGAAATTTTACTTTCTCTACTTTCATTCAAGCTATTTCTACAATGACTTCAGTTTCTCCATTTTCAACAAGGGATAGGGTATCTCGTAGGAATATCTGTAAACCAATTGTTAGCTTTTCTGGTGATAAGGAACTGTCCAGGAGGACGTATGGATGAATACAGGGAAATTTGACAATACAACAGAAGGAAGTACCTCATATATAGCACTTCCACTTAAAGATGGGGAGCTGATGACCATACCCGGTTTAATGGCAATTTTGATCATACAACATCCAAAATGATGGTTATTATGTGCAGCTAAGGTTATTGGGTCTCATAGCAAGCCAAAATCAGGCATTCAATACCTAACAGAACCTAGCTATAAGCCAGAATCAGTTTCTCTGAAGAATTACTGTTTAAAATTGGGCATTCAATGATTTTAGGGTCTACACTGTGATTTCTTACCTTACCTTGCCATGATATACATAATATTTCTGTTTCATAGTAGTAAGCTGTCTAAGTCAGAGCTGTTTATCCTATTATTTAAAGGTTATATCTCAGCTGTTGCAAACCTCTGAGATCCAGGAAACTAAATGGGGTGCCAGACCCTGGAATATTATTGGGAATTTTCTCATGCTCTGGAAATGACATGTCTTAGTGTTTATCTAAGTTGCTTGCAACCCCCACTTATAAAATCCAGGTAGCTTAACTTCATCAATACAGTGAAACAATTTAATATCTTGTGAAATTTTTAGTCCCTAAAAGGTATTGTTGTTGCGAATTAAAACAATAAATGTCTATTGTTATTCTTGCTAGGTGAAAAAAAGAATGCCTGGTGATATTTACCGTTAATTTTTTTTTTAATTGTATTTGACAGATGGATAGCCTCAAACAAGTTTCCAGAGATTATGTCAGTTTTCTGTAGTACATGTGGAGCTGCAGATTCAATTAGGGATAGCACCTGATTAAACTTAAAATAATCTCAAACAGTTTTGCATTAGCCAAAGAAGTGAAATACACATTTTAGAAAAATCAGTAGCCTTATACCTTTCAAGTCTCTGATTGTGACTTTTTTTCTACAATTTCTCCATGAATGTGATATTAATTTCACTGTACTGCCTTAGTCAAGAAGAAAGTTCACTTGATTGATCCTATTATAATGAACTTCGCTCCAAAGGTAAAGGAATAATGTGGAGTTCTACAAGTTAGCAAGTATGCATATGGAGCATATCACTCAATAACAAGATGAGATTACAGAGCAGCTGGCCCATCATGAGACAAACTCAGGCAAATATTTCAATTATCATCTTAGTGAAAAACCCAAATTTTGGCTGGTGCACTACTGTGGTGTTTTGGGTCCCTAAGCATCAGCATCTCTTTGAGATAACATGTCCATGCTTTTTTTTTTCCAATGCTTTTCCACTGTGAAAATATCTGAAGTTCCTTTGGAAAAGGCTATCTGCAAGATTACTTTTGCAATTTCCACTGAGTTCTTTCTTAAGAAAATTCAGCCTTCTCTTTATTTAAAAGGGCCCATGGAGTGAGCCCAGGAGGCGGAGATTGCAGTGAGCAGAGAGAGCGCCACTGCACTCCGGCCTGGGCAAAAAAGCCAGACTCATCTCAAAAAAAAAGAAAAAAAAAAAAAAAGGGCCCATGGAATGGCTCTGGTTTCAAATTGGAAGAGGATCTGGGATTCCACTATAGCCCTCAATTTAGGATTCTTTGGACCTGGCCATTAATTTTGCCTGCTCATGTACTTCAGTACTTTGGAAACCATAAACAAATTGTTACCATTTAAGTTATTGCCTCTTATGAGTGAAACAATTATGATTGTTCCATTTTTTTTCCTGTTTATTAGGGTAGCTGTGTTAGTCAGGGTTCTCCAGAGAACAAAACCAATAAGAGATTATATACATATATAGTGTGTGTGTGTGCATCTCTGTGTATCTCAAGGAATTATGGAGACTAAGAAGTCATATATTCTGCCATCTGTAACTTGGAGACCTGGGAAAGCTGGTGGTTTAGTTTGACTGCTTGAGATCCAGAGAGCCAATGGTGTAGATTCCAGTTCAAGTCTGAAGGCCTGAGAACTAAGAAGCAGAATCCCTGAGGATAGGAGAAGATTGATGTCCTAGCTTAAAGAATCATGCAGAGTTTGAGTTTATGCCTTATTTCTGGCCTTTTCAGGCCCTCCCCAGATTGAATGACATCCACTCATATCAAAGAGGGCATCTCCTTTACTCAGTACATCAACTCACATGTTAATCTATTCTGGAAACACACAGAGACAGGAAGAAACAATGTTCAACCAGACATCTGGTTTCCCATGGCCGAGTCAAATTGGCAGATAAGATTAACCATTATAAGTCCACCCTTAGTCAATTTGGCACCTATATCTATCTCTTTATACCCTGCCTAATCTTCAAATGAAGCCAGTAACAAGATCACAGTTCTTCCTAACAATCAAAATATTCTTCATATAACAAAAATGCACTAGTCTTTCCCCAGAAGAGGAGGTAAATTTCCTGATTTTCTTTGATATCCCATAACTTATATTCTGTGATGTAAAATTAACAATATTTAATTACTGTGGCATAAAGTCAATACATCTTAAATCATCTGATAAAGGATTAAGAGATGAAATAAAATACATATACATACACACATACACATATATACATACACACACGTATTCATAACCAAGTAAGGAAAAAGTACTCATGAGAATTAAAGTCCTCATTTCTCTAACTACTCACATGGTCATACCTGGTATTTTTAACTACCTTTTTCTGCTAAACATTCTGTGTTCCCTTCTCCTTCAGCAACACTTTAGCTGGTCACAGTTCTTTACCTAGTGGGGTGACCCAAACCTTCATTCTTGAGAGTCTGTGCCATTAGTCGTCCTGCCTGGATAATATTGCTCTAGTTTTCCATTGATGTTAATCATAAGGCAAGGTAATACTAACAGACACGGTAAAAAAAAAAAAAAAAAAATTCCTGCATTCCTGCCGGGGGCGGAGGCTCACGCCTGTAATCCTAGCACTTTGGGAGGCAGAGGCGGGCAGATCATGAGGTCAGGAGATCGAGACCATCCTGGCTAACACGGTGAAACCCCGTCTCTACCAAAAATACAAAAAAATTTTTGTAAATTTTGTAAATTCCTGCATTCCGGCTACTCAGGAGGCTGAGGCAGGAGAATTGTGTGAACCCGGGAGGCGGAGCTTGCAGTGAACCGAGATCTCGCCACTGCATTCCAGCCTGGGCGACAGAACGAGCCTCCATCTCAAAAAAAAAATAATAATAAAATAAATATAAATAAAAATTCCTGTATTCCAGACATACACTTCTTTCCTTCTTTGTTCAGTAAGTCTAATTTACTATTGGCAGTGAGGATCAGTCACTTCAGTCAGCACCGTAACTCCCTTAGTTGCCTGTTGATTCAGAAGCATGAAGAGCCCAAAGCGTCCACATAGTCCTTGCTTTTAATTTAACGGAATTATTTTTGTGTTTCCTGGTGAAATCACTTATCCCTTTGGAACTAAGACCTCTACGCTAGCAAAACATAAAATTGTACAAGAAGCAAAACTTTTGATAGTTGGTCACTGGGTAAAATAGTTAGTAGTGCCACTCCCATTTCTAGACCTCGTTTCATGGACCAGTGAATCTTGGCTATGGGGAAGAAAAGTACTATATATTGGATGTAGATTTAGAGCATATAAGCCTTTTGAATAACTTTATCCTAGCCCTCCAAGGTATTGCCAGCTAGCTCACATTGTAACTTAGTATTCAAAAGCCATGCCACTTTTCTATCAAACACTGTGAGGATTGTGGGGAACATAGTAAAATGAATAAATTCAACAACCATGGGATTATTTATGTTCCTTGATCAGAGGCAATGCCTAAAATATGGCGACCTGAGTATTTACGAAAAACCATAATATATTATGGTTGTTTTGGCAGAAGCGTTACATGAAGGGAAGGTAAGTCCATATTGAGAGTAAGTGTCTATTCTGATAAAAACAAAATGTTGCTACTTCCATGATCAATTAGTCTAATGTAATCAGCTTGCCATGGAATAGTGCTTTATCAGGGACTCAGTGTTGGTCTCTGCTGCTGGCAACCGGGGCACTCAGCAGTGGCTGCACCACATCAGCCTTAGTGAGTGGAAGTCCATGTTGCTTAGCCCACACGTAACTACCATCCTTGCCACGATGATCACCATGTTCATGAGCTCACTAGGCGATGAGAGGGGTGGCTGGTGAAAGAGGATGACCAGTATCCACAGAGCAGGTCATTCTATCCATTTGATTATTAAAACTCCCTCTACTGAGGTCACCCTATAGAAAACGTAAATAATATATTTTACCAATAGCATAAATATTTTTAAAAGATTATTAATATAGTCAAATATTACCAAAAACAAATGAAAGAAAACACAATTATCACATTTTTAAGGAGTAGGAGACATGCATAAGATTGAGTGGAGGATTGAAATGATTTGTGAATGTATGTATGAATCTTTAACAATCAATTTGAAATCCGGTGAAATTAAGAATTTCCATGGAGAATTCATTTACTGAAAGAGAATTCAAAACAAGCAACTTGAATATAGATGTAGTCAAGGTATGAATTTAAATAGAATAAAAATAATCACATAAAAATGACTCAGGCTGAGAAGTCAAAGAGAGTATTTATCAAACCATGAAGGATTGATTGTTCGGGAATTATTTGTTTCAGACTAAAGAAAAATAGTGGTATGTTTTCCACATCATTTGTTTAGGTGGAGAATTCTTTGTATAAAAAACAAAGGAAGCAAGCATAAAAATAGAAAATATAAAGATAATATGATGACCTGAGTATTTATCAAAAAACCAAAATACAATTATTTTTAAAATTAGTCTTTGGGATTGTGTATGTGCACACATACATACGCATATATCTGTAATTAACATCCTATTCAATTCAATAAGAAAAAATCAAATATATGAACACACATATATGTGTGTGTGTATATACATACATATATATATATATATATATATATATATATATATATGGAAAAAAACCATCAGTATTGGATACCTATGCAATATTCAACCTAGAAATTATCTTTAACTTGAGTTTTAAAGTTGGATGTAGTATTAGTCTGTTCTTTCATTGCTATAAAGAAATATTTGAGTCTGGGTAACTTCTAAGAAAAGAGGTTTAATTGGCTCATGGTTCTGCAGACTGTACAGGAAGCATGGCAGCATCTGCTTCTAGTGAGGCCTCAGGGAGCTTTTACTCACAATGTAAGGAAAAACAGGAGCAAGCATCTTACATGGCAGGAGCAGCAGCAAGAGAGAGAAGGAGGTGGGAGGTGCTACACACTTTGAAGCAACCAGATCTCATGAAAACTCACTCACTATCTCAAGGACAGCCATCAAGGGAATGGTGTTAAATCATTCAGGAGAACCCCGTCCCCATGATCCAATCGTCTCCCATCAGGCCTCACCTCCAACATTAGGGATTAAAATTGAACATGAGATTTGGGTGGGAACACAGATCCAAACCATATCATATATATTTATGTAAACACACATATATATGATATGTATATATTTTATATATGTATGTGATATATATGTATGTGGTGTATATATCATATGTACCACAGATATATGATATAGGTATATGATATGTATATATATACACACACAGACACATACACACACTGCATGGATATATGTATACATAATGTATGTATGTATGTATGCATATGCATGCATACATATTCATTGCCTTTTATAAATTTATATTGTGCATTGTATTTTCCTTTGCATTTTAGAATAATTCTGTTATTTAAATATTCTTGTTGCTATTATAAATGTGTTTCTCATTATATTTTGTAATAGAAAAATCTTGGAATGTAGATATTTAGATGACCAGTTTCAGAAATGCTATTTTCTCACTCTTGTCAATCAAAAGCACTGTAGGTCTGAACGTGATGTCTCATGTCTGTAATCCTACCACTTTGGGAGGTCAAGGTGGGAGAATCCCATGAACCCAGGAGTTCAAGGTTACGGTGAGCTATGATTGTGCCACTGCACTCCAGCCTGGGTAACGGAGTGAGACCCTGTCTCTAAAAAGAAAAAAGAAAAAAAAAGCATGATATATTGTTGATTGATGTTTGGATGGCTTTCAATGAATCATGCCTCTCAGTATTTAATTTGTAACATCAACTCTAGTTTCGGCCGTGTGACTCACTTTCACCAAAACAAGTGCTCTAAAATGCTCATAGTACTACTACTATAGTAACCCAAACTTTAAAATGACCCAAATACACATCAACAGTAGAATGGATAAGTTGTGATATATTTTCATAATGGAATTCAATGAAAATGTAAATTACAACTACATGATTAGAAACATAATATTGAGCACAAAAGGGACACACAAAAGTGTACATAGCATGTGGCTCTGTTTATGTAAAGCATAAACAAGGAAACAAAAGTCTAGTCTATGTCAGCAATATAATGTTAACCCTTGGATGTAATGCCAGGTTCCTTCAATGCTAATTATGTCTTGTTTTTTATCTAGGTAATGGATTTGTTCAGTTTGAAACAATCAGGCTCTACATATATATGCTCATGTTTATATAAATATACTGCCTCAAAATGCAAAAGACAAAAAAAGTCATCCTGTATCTTCTCCTAGAGTCTTTAAAAAGTCAGTTTAATGGGCAAAGAATGAATGTGCTTGAAAATCTAGATGAAGACAATATTAATCAACCTTGTTTATTTGTTTCCCCAAAGAGCTATGCCTTCTATGTTTAAGTATATAAAAGGTGGATTTAATCAGAGGAAACCAGGAATGTTTTAATTAACAAGGGAAAGAAAGAGAATGCTATTATTTAAAAATAACAATATATCTCCAATGACTAAGTCACCAAAAATATGCAGATATTTTAATTATTAGATGATATTAAGAGCAAAAATTATAACTATTATACAACCCTTTTATAATAAATATTAATTTTGATCATAGACTTTAAAATATTGACAAATGTTTAGTTTAAAAAGTAACTATAATTTCATATATATGAATCATTAGATAATATATATTATTTGTTCCAAGATATCTAATTAATCTGAATAAAATATATAAAGCTGTGCATAACGATTCTTTCATTAGGTATTTCTATTGATGCTGTTGTAATTTATGCCAGTATTTTGATAGAAAGTCACCAAAACATCATTTAATTTGAGTAGATAACGAAAATGTTGAATGAGTCTCCTAATAAGAACCCAACTTTAGCAAAAACACATTATCAGTCACAAAATATAAATAAAAATATTTTAAAGGGGATGCTAAAAGAAATATGAGAAAGTAAAAGTCACACTATTAAAAAAAGATTAAATATAATTTATATATGCAGTACCATGAAGTTTCATGGTATTTATCACATAACCAAGAATTCTGATTAAAATAGATTTTTCAATATTTTGTATCAAGAAATAACTATATTCCATATTAGCTTATAACAGATTCTGTGTAGATACAGAATCAAAGTGTCTGGGTTTTGTTTTTATGTATAAATGTTTTGGCAGCCCTTCAATGTGGGCTTTTCATTTTCTACACCAAAGCTAAGGAGACAGTGAATTCTTTACTGTATAAAATTATGCTTTTGGAAACTATACTTTTCAGCTTCTCCTTCATCCATTAGTTAGCACTCCCTGATGGCTTGGGGTGTGGTGATTAATATATTATTGAATTAGGCATCAATCCAGGAAGCAATGGAATGTGTGAACTGAATGAGACTGTACAATTATCTGGTTCAGTTTTTTGAATTATAAAATAGATGTGAAAATACGTGGCCCAGAAAAATTAAATGCCTGACCCAAATGAAAAATACTCAGGTATAAACACTGTCAGTATAAATAATAGAACTCCTAGATTGTTTTCTTGCATGTTTCAGTCTATGCCTTCAGGATCCTATTGACAATATTTTCAGAGTATAGGTATTCTCCATTATGAAACTTGGGTAAACTGTTGACTTAGCTTCTACTCGAATACATTTGTTTAATGTAAATACAAACTAGAAATGTTTGTTATAATAAGTTATTTATAGAAACAAATACCATGTGTGAGATTCCCAGGTTCTAAACAGTAGCAAAGAATTTTATATGGAATCAGACCATTTTAAATAATGCTTTCAAATGAAAGAAAAAGACAATTAACTGACAGTAGATTTTTCTTTTTAAGTTGGATGTCATTTTAATATTGATTGGTTAATTAACCTTCCCCTTTTGAATGTTTCTATCAATTTTTCTTTCATGTTATAATTAGACCATTTTCTTTGACATAGATAACAAGCCTGTATTTTAGTTTTATTCCCATCAATGTTCTCTTTTTTCCCTTCCAGTATACAAAAGATAACACAAGAAATTTACAACTCAGATATTTCTGAGTGAACCCTGATCAGCTTTATCCAAAAGTATTTCGCCTGAAGTAGGTCTTGTGTATCACCTTTCCCCAGAAATCAGAGATGGATGGTGAGGGGAGAAAAGAGAATCAATTCTTTAAAAAAGAAAATTATGCTTATTTCATATCAATATTTCTTTGAGAAATAAACTGAATACCAGCAGCATAAATATCTATTTGAATGGACCAGAGAGTAAACAAGGCAGCCGAAGATTTCAGAAAAAAAATAAAAGTCATTTGAGAGTAGGTGTCATCTTTGGTGCTTTTTTCTTTGAAATGTTTACAGTTTGCTTGCTTGTTTGTTTCACTAATGGGAGACCGAACTGTAAGAATGAAAAGAGAAAATAAGGAAAATTAAGAACTTAGAAATCCTATAAAATATTGCAACAGCGTTATGATGTGGGAGGACAAGAATGAGCATACAGTGCCTATCAATGAGGAAGAGTCTTAATAGAAAGCCCAGGCTAAAGAGTTGAGGCTCTCAGTGAAATGGAATACTAGAAATGTGTGACCACTTAGGAACAAATGATAGGTAACATCAAACAAGCTCATTATCAAATTTGAATAAAATGGCCTAAGTATATTGTAGAGAGTAAAAATAAATTTTGTCTGGAGAAAGAACATACCAGAGAAAACCTTAAATTACCAGTTTTTCAAACACACCAATTAGTCTAAGCAATTGTTACTTGACACACCTATAATTAGAAATTAATGAACAGAAAGTAATAAGTCATATGGACTACAGACAAAGATGGACAGGTGGTCTAGATATTGAATTGATCACACAGTGGAATAATCTATATACAAAACCCCCTGGACATGAGTTTACCTATATAACAAACATGCACATGTACCCCAAACCCAAAATAGCACTTTAAAACAAAGAAAAAGAAGACCATGTCACCAATATGGATGATAAGAGAATGTCATACCACTACTGGGGGATCGTCTTTGACCGCAAATTAAACAAGATGCTACAGCACACATATTAGAACAGCTAAAATCCAGAACCCTGACACTTCAGGCTGACAAGGATGCAGAGAAACAGAAACTCTCGTTCATTTCTAGTGGGAACGCGAGATGGTATACCCACTTTGGAAGACAGTTTCATATTTTCTCATAAAACTAAACATACACTTACTATAGAATGCAGCAGTCGGCCAGGTGCAGTGGCTCAGGCCTGTAATCCCAGCACTTTGGGAGGCCGAGGTGGGTGGATCACAAGGTCAGAAGATGGAAGCCATCCTGGCTAACACGGTGAAACCCCATCTCTACTAAAAATGGAAAAAATTAGCCGGGCGTGGTGACGGGCACCTGTACTCCCAGCTACTTTGGAGGCTGAGGCAGGAGAATCGCTTGAACCCGGGAGGCAGAGGTTGCAGTGAGCCGAGATGGTGCCACTGCACTCCAGCCTGGGGGACAGAGCAAGACTCTGTCGAAAAACAAATAAAAAAAAGAAAAAGAATGCAGCAGTCATGCTCCTTAGTACTTACCCAGAGAAATCAAAAACTTATGTCTACTTAAAAACTTGCACATACAAGTTTATAGCACCTTTGTTCACAATTGCCAAACTTGGAAGAAAATATGTTTTTCTATTTTTAGTAGATGAATGGTACAAATGGACAGTGGAATATTATTTGGTGCTAAAAATAATGAGCTAAACGCCATGAAAAGACATGGAAGGAAATTAAGTGTACATTACTAAGGGAAAGAAGCCAGTCTGAAAAGAGTACATAGTGTGATTCCAACTATATCACATCCTGGAAAAGGACAGCAAAGGAGACAGTGAAAGATCAATGGTTGCAGATGTTGGGTTGCAGGTGCTTGTAGAGGGTGGAAAAGGTGAATAAGAAGAGCATGGAGGATTTTTAGAGCAAGAAAACTATTTTGTATGATACTGTGATGGTGATATATGTCATTGTCAAGACCCACAGAATGTACATCTCCAAGAGTGAGTCCTAATGTGAACTACAGACTTTGGGTAATAATGATGTGTCAAGGTAGGCTCATCAATAGTAAGAAGTGTACCACTGTGGTATGGGATGTTGATAGTTGGGGAGGTTGTATTTGTCTATAAGGACAGGGGTTGTATCTTTACAAAATAAAGTTTAGCTATTAAAAGAAAAAGAAATATTATAGGATATAAACTTTCATAGAGAATTTTTATTTAATACATAAATTTATTATGCATTTATTTTAAAACATAAATAAATGAAAAGTAAAATGAGTGAAATAAAAAAATAAATAGGCTGAACAGTAGACTAGGCATGCAGAAGAGAGTGAATTTGGAGATAAGTTCAAAACAAAAGGTGGAAAGTAAAAAGCAAAAATGAATATAAGTAGGAAAAGGGTCAAAGCAAAAATAGCATTTGTTGGCCGGGCGCAGTGACTCACACCTGTAATCCCAGGACTTTGGGAGGCTGAGGTGGGTGGATCACTAGGTCAGGAGATCGTGACCTTCCTGGCTGACATGGTGAAACCCCGTCTCTACTAAAAATACAAAAAACTAGCCAGGCATGGTGGCAGGCACCTGTAGTCCCTGCTACTAGGGAGGTTGAGGCAGGAGAATGGCGTGAACCCAGGAGGCAGAGCTTGCAGTGAGCCAAGATGGCGCCACTGTACTCCAGCCTGGGCGACAGAGTGAGCAAGACTCCGTCTAAAAAATAAAAAAATAAAAAAATAATTAAAAAATAGCATTTGTGTAATTATTTTTGCAGTAGAAGAAAAGAAAGGAAGAATGATGCAGAGGCAATATTGAGAGGGATTTGGGGCAGGAATTTTTCAAAATTCATTAGAGTTATTAAAGAACAGTTTAAAACTAATAATTCCAAGAAGGAGGGATAGACTGCTAAAAAAAAAAAAAAAAAAAAAAAAAAAGCTAATAATTTCAAGAAAGAGGGGAGGGAAGGATTTTAAAACGAGCCAGAGAAAACACATAGGTGCCTTTAAAGGAGAAGCAGGAAGACTGGGAGCTGTCAACAGATATGTTGGAAAAAATAAAGAGTGGAATAACATTTTAAAAGTATTGACAGAGAATATACCAAATGATAATTCATTATATAGAAAATAAATATATTTTCAAAGTGAAGGTAAAAAAATTTATTCCATTCAAACAATATTAGAATATGCTAACAAAAAAAAATACTAATAAGTACTAGTAAATAAGAACCTATCCTAAGAAAGCTGATACTGAACAAATAATAGGCAGAAATAACTGAAGACTAACATAATGCTTAAAGATTTGGAAATATCTAAATGTATGCTAATTGGTGAAATAAAAATAATAATTATAGCTACTGTATTTAAAATATATACAGAATTAAAATGCATGTCAACAATGGCATACAGACAAAAGGATGTGGAATGCAGTTGCTAAGAGCTTAGCATTATCAAGGAAATAGTAAAGAATGTTATCAATATCAGTTTAAAAATGCATACTATCATCTCGAGTAATCACTAAAAAAGAATAAAGAACTTACAATGGAAATTACACATATTTTTAATTACATGAACAAACCTGTAGGATTTATCTAAATCAAGTGCTTAGAAGCAAACAATTCATTTTCACTTGATATTTATTAGTTTTCTATATTGCTGTGTAATAAACTAACAAAAAATTAGTGCTGTAAAAGCCATTTATTAGTTCGCAGTTCTCTATGTCAGAAGTCTGAGCACAGTGGCAGAACGCGGTGGCTCACGCCTGTAATCCCAGCACTTTGGGAGGCCAAGGCGGGCAGTCACTTGAGGTCAGGAGTTCGAAACCAGCCTGGCCAACATGGTGAAACCCTGTCTCTACTAAAAATACAAAAATTAGCCGGGCATGGTGGCGGGTGCCTGTAATCCCAGCTACACAGGGGGCTGAGGCAGGATAATCGTTTGAACCCGGGAGGCGGAGGTTGCAGTGAGCCAAGATCGTGTCACTGCACTCCAGCCTGGGCGACAGAGCAATACTTCGTCTCAAAAAAAAAAAAAAAAAAAAAGTCTAAGCACAGCACAACTGAGTTATCTACAATAGGTTTCACACGGCTAAAATCAATGTATTGGCCTGGGCTGTGTTCTCTGGAGTTCAGTGTGTTCTTCCAGTGTCATTGAGGTTGTTGGCAGCGTTCAGCTCCTTGTAGTTGCAGACTGAACTCCTGATTTTCTTGAGGCCACAGGACAATGGTCAATCACTCTTAGCTCCCAGAGGCTACTTCAGGTCCTTGCCATGTGAGGCCTCTTCCATTTTCAAAGCCAGCAGTGGAGAATCTCACATCAAATCTCTCTCATAATTCATATCTTTTTCTGGGAAAAATAGGGTACTCTTAAAATGATCACTGACTAGATCAGAGAGACTGAGGATAACCTCTCTCTCTTAAATCAACTGACTTTGGACTTTACTTACAAATGCAAAATTCCTTCACAACAGCAGAAAATTAGTGTTTCATTGAATGCTTGGGAAACGTGTGTGTATACCAGGAAGCAAAGAATAAAAGTTAACTAAGCCCAAATTTTAGAGGAAGATTTAGAATGTGAGAAAGTAGAAATTACTGATATTAGGAATAAAAAAGGAGAAAATATTAGCTGCAATTACTATTCAATGTTGACATTTTTCCAGAGATTTTAGCTATTTCAATAATACATTAAAGTAAATATAATTTATAAGAAGTTAAAAGTAACAAAATTGCTATGGTTTGCAGGCATAATTTTGTACATAAAAAAGAAGAATTGAAAGTGAGATCAGCAACATAACTTGATTAAAGTTCAATATACAGAAATCCATTGTACATAATAAACAATTTGAAAATTAAATTCAATTAAGTTGAAATGACAACATAAAATATAAAATGCTTGAAAATAAATCCAATAAAAATGTATAAGACTTCTACATGGAAAACTTATATTATTAAAAATATTAAAAGAGCAAAACAGTTGAGAGATATATAAAAATTATGGGTTATAAGACTTCATATTATAAGGTTAATTCTCTATGATTTGATCCATATATAGAATATAATCTCAATCCAAATCTCAATAGTTTTGTGTATGTGAAAACTGAGAGGGTGAGTCCAAAATTTATTAGAGAATTAAAAGGCCTAGAAAATATAACACAAAGAGATTAAGCAGGAGGAAATCAAGTTCCAAATAACAAGACCCATGAAAACCTGCTTTAATTAACAAATCACTTTTTGCAGAAATATAAAAAAAAGGCCAACACAATATAATATAGGATCAATAACAAGCCCAGACAAACAGAGTCTTGACTTAGAACAAATGGATATTGAACAGTCATGGGAATAAACAAGCCTTCAGTGAATAGAGCCAGGTCGATAGGACCATGAGTGAAAATTAATCTTATTTCCATCAACCTCAGATGCAATACTATCTAGATGTAAAATATAAAACATTAAAGTTTCTATAGGAAAACATAGAATATTGTCAGGACACTGGCATCATAAAACACTTAAATGGGGTACAAATGAACCTATCCTAAAAAACAGATTGATAATGTGGGTTATAATAAAATTAAGAACATTTGATATTCATCAAAAGACACTCCCAAGTGTACCTGTGACATCTTGGTATATTAATAATATGGAATAAAATATAGCAGTGAAAATTTGTGCAGTAGCAGTTTATTTTTACTGTTATATTTTATTCTTCATTACTAATATATTATACCTAACTACATGTATTTATTCATCTATTGGTGGATGGGTTTTTTTTAATTTGAGACTTTTATAATTAATGCATATATGAAAATTCTTATAAATGTCATTTATTATATACAGATATGCATGCCTGCTGAGTATCTTCCAGGAGAGTATTGCAGGAATATGCATATATACATATTTAGTAAATGTTGCCAAGAAGCTTGCCACAGTGTTTGTAACAATTTAGCCTCTTCTCAGCAATGTTACAAGACTTGTGTGTCTTCTGAGACAATTTTTTTCTGTTTAGCACGTGTCCACAAATGACCATGAAAACATTGCAAGTATTGATTTTGGGATTACAGATAAATTTTACTACATAGGAAAATTCACTAATACAGAATTCATGAATAATGAGGTTAAACTACACACACACACACACACAATATACATATATGTGTATATTTTATACGCACAAATTCATATTTTCAGATTGCTTATTTGGAATTGTTTCTCAAACATGAACATTTCTGAACAAGCTTAACTGATACGTTTACTTCTGAAGTGGAGCATATTCCATCTATTGCTCATCAATTTCATCCCTGAAGAAGGGCAATGAAGTGCATATTCAATTACCTTGTCATCTCATTGAGACCAGAAGGGAAGAATTTGGGGCAGCTAAACAATCTTAACCAGCAGGGATTACTATAGCTCTGAATACTGTGCCAATCTACAGGCCAAAAGTTTTATATTTCTTACTCTAAAACTTAAGAAAAACAGAAAAATACTCTCCTTCAAAGAGATAATATTGCTGTTTTTATTTGCCTCTGTTGCTAATCATGACATGCTATAAATTCATGTTTTCTACCTGATAACCTCATGTCAATCATATAGAGTTATAAAATCTTAATATCACAATCCTCCAATGACAAATGCTGGAGCCAGCCTTAGACATTTTACGTTTCCCTGTGTCCACAATCACCTCTGTTTAAAAAAGCTCCAGATCCAAAACCTGTGGCATTGAAAGCTTGTTCCCTTTTTTATTTTCTATGTAAGCAAAATTAGATTTGTTTTGTAAGCCAATGGTCTCAAAAAGATCAAAAAAAGATGATTTATTTTCTCAAAAATTTTCCCGTTTAATTATTAATAATCAATAATGTTTCTGTATACTGTTAAGTTTACGAAGTAAATCTAAGAAATTTAGAAATGTGTTATATTCTAGTTGTCAATTTTTAAAAATTATGCCACCAAAACAATGGAGTAATTTCAAACTAATTCACTTATTTATTTAATAGAGATTTATATTTCATTTCTCTGTAAATGTACATTGAATAACTCTGTCAAAGTTTATGTAAGTAATCGATATATCTACTTTATGAAAATTCAATATGAAGACCAATTATTTTAGGAACACTGACTTCTTCAGAAGACTTATTGTATTTTTGTTACCCTTGCACTTGTTTTGCTGACCAAAATCTCAGTTTATCATTTCTACAATAATATCTTAAACATAATTCTCCAAATGTCACATTACTATTTTTTGGAGAACTTTTCAGAAGAAAGAATTTGCTTAAAGTATAAATTAATTATTTGAAAGTCTTGACCTAACATCTATTAATTGCTTGGCGATATTCAATGTATCTTACACCCAGAAGCATTTTTAAAATTATGAATTTGCTTTATGTCACACATTTTTAACTCTTTTTATTCATGTCTTTCAAATTCTTATTGGATAATAATGTCTTTTTCTTTCATATTACCGAAGCATCTAATTTCTTTCCATTTCTATTCTGGGACACATCATTGTCTTTGGCTATCCTACTCTCAATTCTTTGCCCTATCTCTGCTTACACAGACCTTTGGAGCAATCTATCGTCTTTGGAGTTTTATGACCAATAATTATTTGAAGAAATCTACCAAGATAACTGACACTTGCCTATGTCCCTTCCATAACTGCATTATTGAGCCTCCTATTTCATCTCCAGAAGAGAGTTGTTCTAGAGTGATGAAGCTCTATCATAGACTGACGGACCTCCATTCACACCTCATATATTAGCATATGAAGTAATTTTCCAGAGTGGCCTTCTCTGAATTCCACACTGAATTGGTCCCCTTCAATATTTTCTCTGCATCACTTCATATTTTTTATGAAATTGACACCGGTGAGAGTGAGTGTGTATATGCAAGAGAGAAACAGAGACAGAGAGAGAGATTACTTTTAATATTGATTTCCCTCACTTGACTATAAATCCCTAAAGGCACGGTTTTCTTTTCTATAGTGTATCCATGTCTACCACAGAGCTGAATTATACACAGTGTTCAAAGACAATTACTGAAAATAATTAATAGAAACAATTGAACAAATGTTTTCTTTCCTTTTAAAGAACATACTCCGAAAACAAGTATGCCTAAACTCAAATATTATTGAGGAAATAATGTTTAACTCTTTTCTTTTGTACCCTAAAATTCTTCAAGGTTGGCAAAGATCTTTATAATTTAGTCACACATATCTAATATTTTAACAATGTAAATGGCTTACAAATATTTATACCACAAATGAATTGGAGTATATTATTTATACACATGCACGTGCCATTGGGATTTCATATTTTGTGCTCAAAAATGCCTGAATGCAGAATGTCCGTTTTGTCAGTGTCATATACACCCAATCTTCTACTTCTCTACCAAATAATTTACTAGGGCCAACTATTAATTAATTTGTTTTGATTTCAGTAATACGGACTTCACCAAAAAATAGTTTATGAAATAATTCCAGATGTCCAAATATGCTACTCAGGATGCTCTGATCTCTAAGCTGCTTTTTCCCTCCCCCAACCTCACCTGTGCCCGCTGCCAGTGAATTTCCAAGCCACTGCAGCAGAGGTCACAACACCGTCTATAGTTTCATATCCACAAGATTTTGAAAAAACACCCAGGCAGGGCAGGCACAACGACCTGTGGAATAAACAGAGTGTGTGCTTAGAGTCTCTCTCTCTGTGTGTCTCTCTATGTACATGTGTGTGTCTGTGTATCTGTGTGTGTGGTGTGTGTGTCCAGCTTTGGATGATATAGTGAACGAATCAGGCAAATTCCACAGGGATCCAGGCCAAAGCTCCCAGCCAAACATCAAAAGACACAATTAAATGGGAGTAGGAATAGCAGAAAAAGGCACTTCTAATGTCTTGTATGAGCTGAGATTAGGGTTTATTCTTGACTTTCATCAAAAGCACATGATGGTCCCAGTGCAGGATGCAAGGATGAAATGCTATTCTGTGGCAGGAGTTGCTTCATTCTGCCCAGGTCAGCTGGCCAAGGTCAGCTCTACTCTGTTCTACCGGCTGAAAGACTGCTGCATTTTTAAGCTATATATCTTGGAGAAAGTTGATCATAACCCTCTCTTTATCTAAATTCTCTCTCCACCTTATCAATGGCATGAAATTTTACTGTGAACATATATTCCTCATTCCTCACTTTTTTTATTTTTCACTGGTGTCTTTCTGACTTAGCATTTCTTTCTCCATTTTGACTTACCTGATTGTTGAGTTTGGAAACAAAAAGGTGTGTGTTTGGCATAGAATATATTGGCTCACCCTTTGTGTCAATTTCACCTTGCTGACTCTCCCTCACAAGGGCACTGTGTATGTCCAGCTGTGTCAGCAACCCTTTGAGAGAAGGGATGGAAATATTAGCCATCTCTGTATCCAAAGCTATGACTCTAATCTGCTCAATTAGTATTAAAACTTATCTTCTCTCTTCGGTATCTTTTTCATGTGTTTGTTCTCAGATATTTGTGAATGACAGAAAGAAATTAAAGGGTAATAGTTACTGGCCATTCAGAACCACACTGTGTAAAATCCAGGAGAAATAAAAAATAATGTGGCAGTAAAATCTATCTGGGATTTAAATAAAATATAAAGAGGGCTGCCCTTGAGCATAATATTAAAGCATGAGTAGATATGCACTAGACAAAAAAGTAGGTAGGGAACACTGAAACTATGAGTAATAACAAAGTTATCTGTCATGTTCTGAGAACTGAAGTCAATTTATTCATAACAGGTATCTGTTTCAAGATGATCAAAGAATGCAGTGGGAGATGCAGATACCTGATACCTGAAACGCTGATATCATTAATATATTGTAAAAAAAAATACCATATATATTATAATAACAAATATTGCAAGAGTGCTAGCCTTGTGGTATTATTAAATGAGGGCCCTTTTTTTCATTATCCCTTCATTAGAACACATGGATTTCATGTCACTAAATAAAACTACACAGTTGTTATAATTACAAGGAGACATTATTTCAGAAGGACTGAGATCTACTGGTACAGGAGGTATAAAGCAGAGGTTTAAAAAAAAAAAAACTGTTGGAGCTGAAATTATCTATAAAATAGTCTCTGTTGAGCATATAATAACAGAAGTCCTGAAGACGAGATTAGTCAATTAGTGCTCATTGTTCTATATAGGTTGATCAAAACATTATGAAAATAGGGTAGTACAGTTTTATTTAAGAAACAAAAGATGAAATCAAATCATAAGGCAAAGCCTGTTATTTTCAGCTGCTAAAAATATCACTTTCTTTTCAGGGTAAAGGCCTAGCAATTTTTTTGTAGAAAGGACTTGTAAATGTTATATGAGTAGGACCAGGGTCAAAAAGGGTCTGTAGCATGTAAATTTCATAAAATAACTTTAAAATTGATTTGAGTGATGAGATATAAGTTATTTTAAGATGTTTTCTAGGTAAGAAGAAGAAAAATTATGCTAAAGTAGCCAATCCAATATGCTTCTTAACAAATATCAATAAAACAAAATGAACAAGGAAAAGCAAGAAGCATCACAAGCACAATTTCAAAACTTAAGCACTAAAAAAAATTAGAAATTAGATCTCAGAATAATAACATATAATCCCTAAGGAAAAATATATTTATGTCAGTGTTGTTGGATATTAATACTATATTAATAAGCACTATTTTAGTTCATGCATTGAATTTATTTTTAAAACAAATCATAACAGATTTTTTGAAATGACTATTGTTAAATATAAATACAGAAATGCATTTTGTTGTTTTTGTTTGTATTAAGAATTAATTTTCTCAAGTTTTCTTTCATAATCTACACAACAAAGAAAAGTCTTACGTATTTATATTTAAAAATTATAAAACCGCAGAAATAATGGGCTAGTTGTAGAATTGACCTGTGGAAGTCTAGAATCCCACTAATTATTAAGATTAAGACAGAGGCACTTTGGAATACGTCTCCATCTGTTGAGAATTCATTATGCAGGATATGATATTAATTCCTGTACAAGTAATTTATTCAACTATTCATATCTCCTTACACAAAGTTTTAAACATAATACAAAATATACTTATTCCTTCAGTCTAATTTACATATTCTTCTCATGTGTAACCTAATCTTCCCTATATCAAATTGATTATTTTATACTTGTCTATTACTCCCACTATATTGAAAGCTATATAGTACAGAAAAAAATGTTCTCTACTAGGCCAGGCATCCTTGCCTACACCAGTAATCCCAGCACTTTGGGAGGCCAAGGCGACGGGATTGTTTGAGCCCAGGAGTTTGAGACCAGTCTGGGCAACATGGCAAAACTCAGTTTCTATACAAATTAGCTGGGCATGGTGACATGCACCTGTGGTCCCAACTATACAGGAAGCTGAGGTGGGAGGATGGCATGAATTTGGCAGGTTGAGGCTGCAGTGAGCTGTAATTACACCACTGCACTCCAGCCTGGTCAACACAGCTAGATTCCATCTTAAAAAAAAATTCTCTATTATGGTTTTATTTTTTAACCCTCAGCCAAGAAAACTGCTGCTAGTCAAAGATCATTTAGTTTAATTAAATTTTTGATTAATTTAAACTTGATTTTCAACTTCTGCTTGCAATTAACTTGACTTTTTATTGCATAATAATGTATATAAAAATTATATCAATGTGCTACTGTCAGAAAATAGTCATTGGTATATCCAATTTTGTTACAATGCTGTTATATTTTAAAATCTTGATTCACTATTATGTGGACAATTAAAGATAATACAATATTCATAACAGTTAATAAAAGGTTTAAAATAATTAAATATAGGCAAGTAAAATACTCCCAAATAAAGAATATAATTTTAGAAACACACTATTAACAGAAGAAAAGAATGCTACTCCAAATATATAATACTATTATTTTGAAATCAATTTATATTTTATTGGATAGTTTTTACATTTTTCTCACATATTACTAGCTTGCTATAAATCACAAAACTGCATATCCATGTTTAAAAATAAGTCAATATATTACAGAAAAATTTATTATCCCCCTTCAAGTAACACACCCATTCTTGAAAAACGTATAGTTCTATAGCTATCTTTCTAAATATATGAGTAAAATTGTAAAACATATATAATTAAAATAGAAATTGATTTCAAAGTAAAATTATTATATATTTGGAGTAGCATTTTTTCTTCTGCTAATAGTGTGTTTATAATTATAACTATGTATATCTATATCTATAGAGATTCATAGATATATACATTTTTCAAGAATGGATGTGTTACTTGAAGGGGGAAATAAATTATATATAGATAGATAGATCTATAGATACATCTATAAACCCACGATGGGGGCTAAAACCACAATGTTATTGTCATGTTAATGACATGATAGTAAGCTGGGTTAAGTTAAGGACATTTAGGTTCATCTATAAGTAGATGTATCTATAGATAGCTATAGATAGGTGTATCTGTATATATCTATAGATATATCTATATAGGTGTATCTGTAGATATCTATATCAATAATATATAGATCTACATAGACCTATGTATCTATGTAAGTATATATATACTTATACATAGATATACTTATGTGTATCTCTTATGTGTAGATATATCGAGAGAGAGAGAATGTATATACATCTTATGCATGTGTTTGTGTGTATTTCATTTGCTCCCTTTTTTAAAAGTTGTACAATATGAACCCCAATTAAAATGTGAAAAGTAATGATTGTATGATACAAATTCCAGACTAAATATTAAAAACAATGCAAAGACATATAGATTGAAAGCTAATAAAAAATTTTAAAGGAATTTCTGATGACGCAGGAAAAGAGATATATAAGAATAAAAACATAAGGGACAAAACAATTTTTAAAGTATAACTAAATCCAATTATATGAATAATTACAGTAAATATCACTGTTACAGTCTACTTAGTCCCTAGTTTAGCTATGTCCAAGTTCTTGTCCCACAACCAAGAAAAATACAGCACATGGACACTGGAGAGTGAGTAGAGTAGGATTTATTAAGCAAAAGGAAAATTCTCAGCAAATAGAAGGGGCCTGAAGGCAGGTTGCCAGAAATGGGACTGATTTCTGGGTCTTTTATATGGCAGAAGCCAGTTAGTTTTCTGTGGGTTTTGCCGGAATGAGAGAGGCAAATTCCCTCCTAGGGGTGTTGTATTTGTGCAAGCCTGGAGTTGGCCAGAATGATTACATCTTGGTTATTTTGCCTAAGCAAAACCCATGGTGGGGGCTAAAACCACAATGTTATTGTCATGTTAATGACATTATAATAAGCTGGGTTAAGTTAGGACATTTAGGTTCATTTATTGCATCTGTGCCTAAGTTGGGACAGTCTCTTCTGAGCAATGTCCTGGCACAAGAAGAAGGTAGGTACTGTAGGTACTGTCCCATGGTTGTTCCTGTGAACATTGTCCATCTCTGCCCTTTTCCTGAGACCCTCCTTCTCAATCTACCTAACCAGCCCCCAACTGCCTCCTGTCTCATTACTACATTATACACTGGAATAAAAAATTTCATGTTATCTGAATGGACAAAATAGTGAAACTCAACTATATGCTGTCAATAAAATATGCTATTTAATATAAAGAGACAGACATTTGAAAAATAACTAGTTAGAAAAAGATAAAGCATGCAAACAATAAATATTAGAAAGGTAGAGTGGAATATTAATATCAAAAAAGTATTATCAGAAATAAAGAAGGATATTTCACAATGATACCAAAATAAATTTAAGAAAAAGACAACTATAAATGAGTATGCTCCTAATAATAGTGTTTCAAAATATATTAAGCAAAAATTGACTTAAAAACTAGTCATCAAGTGATAGAGAAACTTCAAAAAAGTAAAGAGGTAGATGATTTGAGTGATAAATAGAACTATACTGAAATAAACGCTAATTGAAATATAACATAAAAATTGTAGTATGCAACAAGAGAATTGTATAAAGGACAAAGTACAGCTTTAAATGCCTGTTTTAGAAATAGTGATATATCTAAATTTCGATGATCCTAGCTTTCACTTTAAAAGGTATGAAAAGAAACAGCATAGTAAGTTAAAGAAAGGTAAATTATAACATAAAAGGGAAAATCAACAAAATATAAAAAAACAGCAAATAATCTATAAACAACAAAAACAATTTTATAGTAATTAACAAAATCGATATACTGAAAAAATAGAAAGCAAACAACATAATTATCAGTATTGGAAATGAAAGAAGGGTTATCATTACAGATTCTACAGAAGTTGAAAGTGATAGAATATTATGAATAAATTTATGACAGCAATCTAGCAAATTAGATGACATACATACTTTTAAAAATATATAATTTATCAAAAATTATGCAAGAAGAAAAAATCTCTATACAAATAGTTCTCAACCTATGATGTTGCTACTTATCAATAAACCCATTCTAAATTATAAACATCACAAATTGAAAATGCATTTAGTATTCCTAACCTACTGTATTAGTCTCTTCTCATGTTGCTATGAATAAATACCCAAGACTGCATAATTTATAAAGGAAGGTGGTTTAGTTGACTCACAGTTCTGCATGGCTGGGGAGGCCTCAGGATACTTACAGTCAAGGTAGAAGGAGAAACCAACATGTCCTTCTTCACATGGCAGGAGAGAAGTGCAGAGTGAAGAAGGGAAAGACCCCTTATAAAACTATCAGATCTCATGAGAATTCACTCACTATCACTAGAACAGCATGAGAGAAACACCTCGATAATCTAATCACCTCCCACAACGTTCCTCCCCTAACACACGGGGCTTACAATTCAGATTACAAATTCAAAATGAGATTTGGGTGGGGACACAGAGCCAGACTGTATCAATCACCTACCAAACATCATAGCTTAGCCTAGCCTACCTTAACATGGTTAGAATACTTACATTAGCCTACAGATGGTCAAAATTATCTACCACAAAGCCTATCTTATAATAAAGTGCTGAATATCTTATGTAACTTATTATTAAACTTATGTAACTTATTAATTTCACTGAAAGTGAGAAACAGGATGGTCATATAGGAGGTACAGTTTCTACTAAATGCATATCGCTTTCTCAGCATCATAAAGTTGAAAAATCGGAAGTCATACCCTTGTAAGCCACGGACCATCCGTATAGCCACACGTATGCATAAATGTGCACACACATAAACACACCATTCCTACAAATGTACACCTTATATAAATTAAATTTGTTATGAAAAATTTTTTTCTAAAAAAATTACTTCAGAACTACATGGCTTTCTACTTAAATTCTGTCAGACCATTAATAAAGAATTGTCATAATTCTTATACAATTCCTTTTAGAAAATACTGAAAGAATATCCTATATAAAACTTTTCAGGAAATAGAAGAATAACTTCCTAACTTGTTTTATTAGTTCATCATAACCCTAGTAACAAAATCTGATAGAGACAAAAATGCAGAGCAATGTCGCTTGTGAATACAAATTCAGAAATACTGAACAGGATATTAGCAAATCAAACCCAGATATACATAAAAAGAACCCTATATTAAAACACAGTAAGGTTTTTCTTAGAAATTCAGATCAATTTGACATACGAAATGGAATCAGAGCATTTCACCACTATACCAAAATAAAGTATAACCCATACAATCATTTTAATAGATGCATATAAATAATTTGAAAACAATACCATCCATTCATGATTTTTAAAAATACCAGCAAGCTAAGAATATAAGAGAACTTTCTTTATCTAACAAGATCTATGAACAATTTATAGCACATAGTCAACAATAAACTGTTCACTTCTTTCCCTCTCGGATGAAGCACAAGATATTGGCAGGCTCTCACCAATTCTGTTCAGGTTTGTTCTGCAGTTTCTAGTCAGGAACATAAAAATAAAAATAATAAATAAATAAATAAATAAATAAATAAATAAAGTATGTAAACATCAAAGAGGAAGAAGGAAAACTCTCTGTATTTGCAAATGACATGATTCTGTCCATACAAAATCTTACAAAAATTTGCAAAACAGTTACAAGAACTAATAAGTTAATTGGACAAAGTAATGGACTATGAGATTCATATACAGGCCTAAATTTCATAGTTACTTACTAGCAGAAAACAATTGAAAATAAAAATAAAAATCAATTACAATAACATCAAATATCACTTTAAAATACTTAGAAATTAATTTAATAAAATATGACCAGGATCACCACACTGAAAGTATAAAATGTTGATGCAAGAAACAAAGACACTCTTAAAAATGAAGATATGTACAGTGATCATGGATTGAAAGATCTAATATTGTTAAGCAGTAAATTTTACAAATGTAATCTAATAACTCAATGTAATCCTAATAATATGATTTAGAAAGTAACATCTGGCCAGGTAGGGTGGCTCATGCCTGTAATCCCAGCACTTTGGGAGGCCAAGGCAGGTGGATCATTTGAGGTCAGGAGTTCAAGACCAGCCTGGCCAACATGGTGAAACCCCATCTCTGCCAAAATACAAGTATATATATTTATATATATAGCCGGGCATGGTGGTGGACACCTATAACCCCAGCTACTGGGGAAGCTGAGGCAGGAGAATCACTTGAACCCGGGAGGTGGAGGTTGCATTAGCCAAGATCACACCACTGTACTCCAGCCTGGGCAACAGAGTAAGACTGTCTCAAAAAAAAAAAAAAAAAGTGACATCCAAATAAATAAGTGAATAATAAGGTCCTAATAAATAAGTGAATAAATAAGGTCCTAACAGTCAACTTAAAGCCCAGTTGTTATAGGTAGCTAGATAGGTATGAGCAGGGTAAGAGGGGGCTCTCCCCAGACTCAATAGGAATATCAGGTGATTGTTTGACAATTATCACACTGACTCTCTAAAAATGATAATTCAGCAGCCCACCCAGAGTGCCAGGGAGAGGCTGTCTCCTGATGATTAACAGCTATTAACATTAAAAGTGTTAACTGAATGCAGATGCCAGGGAGAAGAAACTGAGCATGCGCACTAAGAGACAAAACGGTGAAATATGAGCTTCTGGGTACACTCCACCAAAAAAAGGGAAGAAAACCTCAAACGGATATGCATAAACATCGTAAACACACTGAGCGTGCTCATTTCCCAAGGCTAAGGAAGGCACTGCGCATGCGGGAAGCCCACCATAAGGGAAGAATCATGGGAAACAGGCAAGCCTATAAAGCCCCATGATCAATGTTAAACACCCTTTAGTTTCTCTCTGTGACCTTCAGGCGCCCTCTTGGATATCTTCCAAGTGATCTCTCCTTTCTTTCCTGTTCTGAAGCCTTTTTAAATAAACTTCCACTCCTGCTATGAAACTCGCTCTTGGTCTCTTTTTCTGCTTGACACACCTCAGTCAAATTCTTTCTTCTGAGGAGGCAAGGACTGAAGTTGCTGCAGACCCATGCGGATATGCCGCTGGTAACTCAGGGTAACTCTGATCTCTCCCACAGGTAACACAGTCATATATTGTTTTTAAATTTTAATATTTTAATTCTGGATCTCTAGAAGCTAATTATGTTGTTACTGCTTCTTCAAGTCAATGTTTTCTTATTTCTTTGACACATGGCTCATTACTTTTAAAAGCCAAAGGTGTATGGAAATTGTAAACCAAAAATGAAATTCTAAGCGCCCCCGCCCCGCCCCAACCATCTGAATGGACTTTCTCCTCTTGGCCAGGGCACTCTTTTAAAATCTAACCTGAGAGACTTTGAGGCCGTGACAGGAAATGCGGGGTCAGATATGCCTCATTATACCTCTGCAGCACTAACATCAACACAGACCTTTAAGAAGCATTAACAAACATTTGCAATCTGTTCTCTCTGAAGCCTGCTACCTGGAGGTGTCATCTGCATGATTAAAATTTCTCTATAATCTCTTATCTTAAGTCAGACATTTCTTTCTATTAATCCCATGTCTTTTGATAAACTCAACCAATTGTCAACCAGAAAATTTTTAGACCTACTTGTAAGCTGGAGTACCTATAAGCCCACTTCAAGTTGTCCCACCTTTCTGGACTTAACCAATGTATTCCTTGTATGTATTTGATTGAAGTCTCATGTGTCCCTAAAATGTATAAAACCAAGCTGCACCCAGACCACTTTGGGCACACATTCTCAGAGTCTCCTGAGGGTGGTGTCATAGGCCATAATCACTCACATTTCACTCAGAATAAATCTTTTCAAATATTTTACAGAGTTTGTCTCTTAATCGACAAAATCAAAATTGTGACCTTGAAACAAATAAAAATGTTCCTCTTGGTTGATTTAATTACTTTCAGAATGACAGGTAAATTTTAACTACTACAAAATTTACCTGTTTTTTGTTTTTGTATATGGTGGATAAAGTAATATTTCTATCACTCAGATATCCCTCAAAGCTAGAATATATTAGAGTTCATTTAAATTGTAACAGTTTTCCAAATTTTTTGCCTGTGTGTAAGGGAAAATACTTGATCTTATTATTTCGTGTGATTCTGATGAGTAATTTAGTATCATTCTAGGATTAAAACAAAGGATCTTATTTTGACCATTGCATGTAAAAAGTACTCATTTAATTGGTTATTTTCAAGATATCATAATTTATTTAACCTATTACAAAGTAGTAATGAAAGAAGAGTAAATATTGAAGTGATATTTAGCCATGGAATTCAGAAGCATGATTACCGCTTGAACAGGAGTAAAACTAAGGAAAAAACAGACACCAAAGATGCTAAAATAAATAATATTACTTTACTATTTAACATGGTGTTGTTTCTCAGTCTAACCCAGAACTGCAGTAACTCAGTCAGCACCATGAGAAAGGCTCTCTAATCCCAATGGGCTTGGCTGGTCTAAAACCATAGCAGACACTGGGGCCTTTTTTGCCAACCTTTGCCCTCCCACTCTCCATTGCCAACCTTTGCCTTCCCGCTCTCCATTGCCAACCTTTGCCCTCCTGTTCTCCATTTTCAGTGCTCAAATGTGAGTCTCTGATGCAAGAAAAGGCCAAATCAAAGCAAACTTGCCAACATCACAAGAAAAAACGGTAAGAGAATCAGCAGCTGACTGATTATTTTTATCAATTCCTAGGGCACAAGAACCCATTAAAGGTTGCTTTTTGTTTCTTGTATTCTCATTCTGGAGTAGTAGCTATAACAAGCGTAGTGGGCCCCATTGCATTTAATGGGATAAAATGAAGAAAAAAAAAAGGTTAGGGAGCTGATTCGAGTTTATTCTGGCTGAAAACTCCAAACTAAACCTTTCTATAACAAAAGTTTTAGGCAGAAAAATAAATAGCACAGTTGTTTTTGTGTTTATTATTTGGTTGGTTGGTTCTGATACTTTTTCTCTATCAAAAGTTTTCCTATTGAAGAATTAGCTAATTAGTGTTTTTACACATATGCAACACCCCTTACATTTGAATATAGTGTCTTTTATTTTTCATAGCTTGGGTTGATTAAGGCATTAGTTGTTAAAAAGAGACAATAGAAACACTACATTGATGTGTCAATACATATAAAACTTGTTTGGAGTTTCACTGTTAATCCAGAATTATGTGCTAATAATTCAGTAAGTGAAGTAATCAATTACAAGATTGTATACAACAGGATTTTTGCATTAAAATGTATTCATGAAAAAAATACATCTTCCTTTCCTTATGCAAGGGGAAAAAAAAACGCTTTTACTATATGTGCAATCATTAGTGCGATATGTTGTAAATAAGACTATACTAAACTCTGAAGGCCCAATTTTCTCCTTTGGCCTTGACTAAACTTTGTTATTATTTTAATTTTTCTGTGATATCATCAAGGTCAAATTATTTGCCTATATTTCTTGACCACTACTATGAACTTGCTAATGCTTCAATTCTTTATAAATTATGAAATGTGCTAATTAAAGCTGAAATCCTTTGAGGTATTCAAGATACAATGTATTGATTGACTTTGACCTGCACCACAGGATACGGTCAGAATCCAATAATGAATATTATACAGGAATCATTCCTGCTATCTGATGATCAGATACCAAAGGGAAAAAACAAATAGAAAAATCAAGACAATGCAGAGAAAACTGAGACACTTGGACTGCTACAGTATTTCAGCCATATCACTATTGACATTTATGAAAACAATTGGCTCATGCAGGAAGGGAGCAAACCATAGAGACCAGCCTGTTATGATTTTGAGGATTACTTTAATATTGCTGCATACAAAAATACTATGGTTTCCATTCTATGTCAGGCTATTAAGCTTTTACTTCTTAAACTTTTTACATTAAATTTTGCAAATATTTTATTCATTATTATCTGTATTTGTTAACAAGTTTTTAATAGCTTGGCATGGAGTCTTATATTAAAGCAGATTAAAATTATAATTAAAACTATTTCTTTAATCATAATGAAAGACAGCAGAGGAAGGGGTGCAGACAAGAGAAATATTAGAAGTAGGAACAGAACAATTATTGAAAATTAGTTTAACAGAACCTGCAATAAGCTACTTGTTGCATTGTTATGCACAATTACACGCAAAAGCTGTATGAAACTATTATGATGATCTGAGATATATACATATTAAGATTTCAGGGGTTTAAACTGGATATTCTCTCACCTCTATTCAATAACATACATTTTTGCCTATAATTTGCATATAAGTTATGTGGGATAAAAATTAAGTATTCAATAATAAATACCCTTGCATTTGCACTTATTTGTTTGCTTTAAATTAATAAGACTCACCTTAATACTAATTTAAAATCAGAATATTCTACCATTGTGCAGAATTTGAAAGTATACGTCCATAACTACTAAGTTAGAGTAGGGGTAGTAACAGCAGCACTTGAATGAAAAACTCTCAAATCAGACTTTCTCAGTTTTCATCTTAACTCTGGCACTTACTAGCTCTGTGGGTTTGGGAAAGTTATATGACCTCTTTTAAAAATCGTTTTTATGACCTCTTTTAAAAATCGTTTTACATATTGTTACAAAGGTGACACTATTAGTGTCTAATTCTTAGAGTTGTTATGAAGATTATATAATATTAGCCAACCAGGATGTCATTATCAAATAGCGGCGGCAGCAGCAGCATTGCCTTCACAATTTTCTACGCTTTCCTTTGTTTAGCATTAAATATGTGCTGAGCATGTCCCTTTTGCTATCTAGTTAATTCTCTCTCAAAACGTCTAAAGTAGGTCAGGAATAAAACATAGATGTCTACAATAACCCGGCACCTGGATGAAGAGGACAGGGGAGGTAATATGGAATGTTGGAAAAGTTTCAAAGTGGAGGAGACAATCTTCTGTAAAGCAAGCAGGCATTAGCTTCAGGGGATTCCTGTCATGCTGGCCCAATTTTGTCAAAATTTCTTTCTTTTCAGTAAAGCCAGTAATCTGTATTTGGGATTAAAATCTACTTCTGCTTAATGTTAGAAAAAAACTAAATAATTTAAGACACTTATGAGGCCAACATCATAGGACACATTTTTGATGGCTACCTGTTTGCTGCCTCATAAATGGGCATTAGTACTCAGTTTTTCAGTGGAGCAAGAGTGAACACAGAACTTACCTAAGGTCAAGAAGCATGTAAGTGCTTGCGCTAGTATTTTAGATAAATATCATCTAATTCCATATTCCCTTTTAACTATGTTGCATGGCCTCATATCTTAATGTATGATCTCTAGGTAAATATGCAGGATTTATATCCACTTGACTACATTATCACCTTCACCACATCTCAGAGGATGTTGCTCTCAAACAATAAAAATTACCTTCAAAACTTTAAGTGTATTTTTCTCACATCATTAATTTTAATAGCATGAGGTATCACTTAGTATGATTCCATGTTTGCTGCATACTTAGAAAATCATCTTTCCTATTTCACCTTCCTGCACAGGTACCACAACCCATCTCTATGCAGGACCAGTTATGTAATGCGTAGTGCACAGTGCAAAACAAAAACGTGGGGCTCCTTGTTTGGATCCAATAAGAATGTCAAGACAGTGACAGCAGAGCTTTAAATCAAGCATGCGGCACTGCTGAGCATGGAGCCCAGGGCAACTGCACAGGCTGGACGCTTTTGAGGCCATCTTTGCCTCAGTGACACACGCAGTGAGATGGCCTCTCCTAATTGAGCAAGTCCCCAGATGATCTCAATATGGGGTTCAGGGCTTTCTAAACTTGAGATTCAAATCTACGTATTTCTACAGGCCACTTTAGACATCCCAAATCCTTGCAATATTATTGTCCCCTTTTATTTGTTTGGATTATATAAACTCTGGCTTTAATGAGCACAGTCTAGTGAGTACATTATATTATTAAATCTTAGGTTTATACATACACGTATGTTAATGTATCCCAAATAAAAATATAATGATAACAATTTCTAAATGAAGCTCTCAGATAACAAATGAATTTATAAACCCTTATTGGCTTTTGATATTTAAAATAATACCTGCAAGCTATGACACATTTTAAGAACACAGACGCTTATAAAACAATTAACATAGAAGCCTTCTTTTCCTCTTAATCTCACTCCTCGGGTAGCTACGGGTTATAACTGTTTGGTGTGTGTTCTTCCTAAATTTTTGTTTTCCTATAAAACATAAAAACAAGGAAGATATGTGGTAGATATATTTGTAAGCCATCATCTCATTCTTTCAAATGACTTCCTATTATTACATATCATGGACGACTTCCTATTATCCCATGTCATGAATATACTAGAATTTATTTAGCAATTCCTTATTGGTGGGCACTTGAGCTACTGTCAGTTTATGTGTGTTTTGTACTACATTTTAAACTTATTCTGAGTAAGTAAGAACTTGTTATAGCAGGGATACTAGCAATGTAAATGATACATAAGCAAGGTTCAGTACTTGACCATTGAAGCTTTTGGTGGAGAAACAGTATGATCAAAGGTGTATGTTAGAATAATGCAAGGTGGGTGCTGAATTGGAATGTGACTCTAAGCAGAGAAGACCAGTAGGCTATTTCTACAATCATCTAGATATGAGAATCTGAAGATTTGAATAGGGGCTATGATAGTAAGAAAGGAGATAAAAGATTCTAGAATTACTATTCATATTCCATTAACTGGGAGAAATTGGTAGTGACAAAGAAGTTGTTAATTCCTAACTACAACTAAATCAAATCTAAAGTCAGCTTTTGATTTTCTAATGGTGGGACACAGAAGAGAGCTGGGACATGCTTCTGGTTAGTGGATGAATGCTGATCATTCATTTTGGGAATGGGTCAAGCCTTGGGAGCATATGTGACTTGAGGTGGAGGCAGGAAGCTGAGAAAAGGAGGCCAAACAGAGTTCTGATCTCTCTTCTCTGCTTACATCAAAGGCAGCTCTTCTGCCTCCTGGGTTCTTGCTTCCCCGCTTGACAGTTGGCCAATAAATGCTCTCAGCTGGAGAGGTAAAGGGGTCCCAGCTCACTGCTCAGCCTCAACCATGTATAATTCAGCCTCAAATAACCAAAATGTAACCCTTTTTGGGAAAAAGAACTGACAGGAGATGGTGGCTGATTAGATATAGGAATAAAGAAGAGTTAAAGACAGCTATGAGATTTCAAACCCGAATGAATGGGATAATATAACATTAATTGAAAGAACTTGGCAAAGGGATCAATTTTTTTTCTTTTTAGTTGAATCAGGAGAGAAAGGAATGTATTTAAATTTTTTAAATGCAAGATGGAGAACATACAATTAGAAACTGAAAATTTTGTCCTGGAACTCTATAGAGAATTCAGTCGGAGTCATCATCATGTGGCTAAGCTTTCGCCCTATGAAAGACAGAATTTGTCAAGAAAGTCAGAGAAAGCACTGTGGTGAACAGCAGCATTTGATGATGGGAAGAACAGAGAGTGGTCTTAGACAGAGTTATCCTAGAAGCCAGAAGAGGAGGGTGCAATTTCAGAAAAGTGAGGTTCACATCATTAAATACCATGCATGGACTGAGAGGACACAGGCCAAGAAGGACTTGCCAGATCTGCTAACTGAGGATAGTTAGTGCCCACTGGGCCAGGGCCAGGGCCAGGGCCAGATGGCAGCCTGGTGCAAGTCTGTGTGGGGAACACACAAGTCCATGACTCCAGCTTAGGCAGAGCAGGGCGAGAAGGAAAATTAACAAGAGGCGAGAAAGGGAGAGTAGGGATTCCTGCACCCATGTTTAGGGGATTCTCCTTCCCTTTTCAGGTTTCAGTATCACTCTGAACCACAAGTGGATGTTGTCTTTTTGTTCTTTCCCATCATCAGTAAAGAACTCCAATTTTCCATTTTTGATATAGAACTAAAATTTGTTACATGTTATGATGGGAATAAAAATGTTCATTCCTTCAACTGAAAGAATTTTCCTTCTGACTGTATTGGAGTTAAGCTTTTGGTTCTCTCATCCTTAGGCTGTTTACAGCAAGGAAAACCTGGAATGACCTAAATGTCCAACAACTGGCAGACTGCTTAATTAGATACATTCAATAATTCAACATTAGTTTCATTTTTCTCTTTGCTATCTAAATACTCTCTTTTCAGGTGTAATGAATCATAAAATTTGACAAGAGGAACTTCATGTGGGCTGACCATTAACTTAGGTTTACACTCTTTGTTATCAGAGAAGTCCTCACCTAAAGAGTACACTTCTTTCTCGAGGATTTGGCAGTAAGGTTAGCATCTTTTTCTTTATTTAGAACAGTATCAATAAGAAACATTGTACAGACATTCTGCTTCCACCTGCCCTCAAGGTCCTGACCAACTCTCCCACCTTGCACAGATGCATCACCTCAAAAGCCTGTATCCAGATCCGTTCTAATGCTCAGGCTCTTTACTGAATATGAAGCCCCGTCTGCTATTGCCCAATCCCGTGTAATCAACCCACATCTGCACAACAGGCTAAGAGGCAAATTCCAGATTGGAGACATCTGGTCAGCCCATCCTCTGAAAAGTCATTATTTTGATGACAGATGTTTTTGCATTCGGTTGAATCTTGTGCCTTAAACTTTGCACCTTAATGGTCTCATCTTACCCAAGCCCTGATTCTTCTGATCCTAGTTTACATTTATTTTACCAAGGGATTTTGGCAAAAGACATATGTGAGTTGCAAATTACACCCAGGTTATACACAAACCTCTCAGTAGTTATGGCTAATTTAACAGTGTTATCTACTCTCCTTCATATTTCAAACATCTGAAAGAATGAAACATCTAAAGATTAAATATGAGACTCAAATGATGGGTGTAACATATAGAACTGATGTACAGAAATGTATATATAACTAAGTGTATATGAGCATCTACAATTTTTTAAAAATCCTTGGATTTAATTTATTCACTTACATAATTATAAAAACTGGTGGGCAGATCACAAGGTCAGGAGATCAAGACCATCCTGGACAACATGTTGAAATCCCGTCTCTACTAAAATACAAAAAATTAGCCAGGCGTGGTGGTGTGCACCTGTAGTCCCAGCTACTCAGGAGGCTGAGGCAGGGGAATTGCTTGAACCTGGGAGGCGGAGTTTGTGGTGAGCCAAGATCGCACCATTGCACTCCAGCCTGGTGACAGAGTGAGACTCCACTTCAAAAAAAAAAAAAAATTATATTTATCAAATAGCATGATTTTACTCTCAATGAAAAAAGTCACCAGAATTTATTTGTACACTGTAATACTTCAAATAAGATTTTAAAAAAATCACTATCAGATTAAGTGGGGAAATTATCTATTGTAGAGTAATACCATTCTGTCAATAAAACTTTTAAATTTTTGATACCCAACCTAGTTTCATTTCATTGGATCTTTTATCAACTACTGGAACACTAAAGAAAGGAAATATATAAGGTATTTTTGAATTCATGGCATGAAAATTTAAGAAGCAGCAATAGCCACTAATGCTTAGATTCAATAGTGTATTCCATAAAGTATATTTCTACAACAATATAAAATTGTCCTGCTTTTTTCTAATATGGTGAATGGTCTAAGTTTTTGCAAATTGCCTTCGCCTATATAAAACATATTTATTGCTTATTTATTATTTATTGCTGAATAACAGAAAAGTACACAATTAAAATAAATATTGAACTCCATATCCCTCTGTTATTTTTTTCAAAAGAAAAAGGAATAGTGTTTTATTAACTATCACACTGTTATAATACACTTTAAACATACATCAAGGTAGCCTTTAAATTTGAGATGGTCTCAAGAATAACAAATGAACAGAATTCCAAATTTTTGCAATAGGTGAACTGCTGCAGTTACAGGTATACATTTAGGAAAATTGTATAGCTCTTCCATGACCAGCATTGTAGCTTTATTTTGTACATTTTTTTAATTGAAAATATAAACTAATTTAAAAATAAAAAGAAAATACAGCATAATAAAAAAATACGTTCTCAATTAAATGTACTAGATACATATAAATTTTAAGGGAAGAAGCAAAAAAGGAAAATGATTGATATTTAAGTGCAGACTGACTACCTGGACAAAAAAAAAAAAAAGACAAAAAAATGATAAAACCTCTAGTTTGTCTATGACTAATATCCATATGGTTGGAGTATCGTCACTATGAAAGTGATTTGGTTATGTTTGCATATGTTATACTTTACTGGTAATTTACATGATGGCTTTTAAGGCGCTGGCAGACGTATGGTTTTTGAAAACAAAATTGGATAAAAATCACTGCTAAGATGTGATACGCCTTATTGTTTTGGTCCCCCAATATTCAAGAAAAGGGATAATTCACTATAACATTTTCTTACCATCCAAATGCCTCAAGCTATACATTTTAAACCTTCTTAAACATTGGTTATGTTGCCCAATTTTGTTATTGAAATAATATTAACAAGACATTGTTTTGGCAAGTTAAATCTTAAACATGGCTTTTTAACAGGATTTAAAAGGTGACTATCCCTAGAGTTCCATGTTAAAATGTAGTTTTCAAAATCTTACCAGAGTAATGCTTAAAATTTGTAGATAGTTAACCTAATTAAAATAATTAGCTTCGAAACAACAAATTGATAAGCTAAGTAAAACTTACACTATGTAACATTTGTGTGGACACTTGATTTGTCAGTTATGCATAATAAAAATTCCAGTCATCAAGAAAATTACAAAATTTTTATCATAACATGATTTCTTTCACCCACCAGCTTTATCTTACAATAGATAAATACTAACATGTTCTCATTTTTACACTAAACCACACAGTATTGATGCATTTGGTTAGACTACCATTCGCATTGTTAAATTCAATTTTCTCTTTATATAACGTGGTAAAATTTCATTTCTTCTAGATTCCAAAAGTATCTACAAAATCCATGCAATTTTACCATTTTAATATACTATGGAATATCATACAAAGTAAGGCATTTCAGTGTCATGTATAACCAAGTTACTGTCAATCCAAAAATTTTTGCACATCAATACAAAGATATCTAAGAACTTAGGAACAATATTCTTCTCAGTACTGTATAAAAATAACCACAGTGAATATGTGTTTGTGTAATATTTACTCCATTGTCTCATTTCCAGAAACTGTGACAAGCCATAAAGGTATTTCAGTGTTGGTAAGGGTATCTGGATTGCTGGTGGCAGAGGTATTAACCGTTCCTATTCCTGAAACAGAAGCTTGTTGAATATTTGCAAGGATAAGTTTTGTTCCTCCTGCAGTAATCAAAGTATCGTCTTGCACAGCTTCCACAGATGCCAGCACCGTACTGCTAGAGTGAATACCTTTTTTATTCTGCTGTGTTTTAGTATGTTCGGCAAGATGGTCACTTCTCACAAAGCATTTTGAACATTCTGAACAAACAAATTTCTTCTCACCTGTATGTGTTCTACTGTGCCTCTGTAATTCATCACTTCGAGTAAATCTTTTACCACAATACATCCAGTTACAAACAAAAGGGCATGGTCCAGAATGCCAATGTAGATGAGCTCTGAGATGTGAGGTCTTCCCATAGACTTTACCACACCCCGGTATAGGACAAATGTGTTGCTTCTTTTTCCCAAGATTGGTACTTCTCCCACCACCTGCTTTACAGTTGGGGCAGGTGCAAGCTACCCTCTGAAGTCCTTTTCCTTCTTGATGTTGTTGGTCCCCTTCTTCATCTGCCACGTGTACTCTTAACTGTGGTCACAACACAGTTGTGCCACTCTTCAGGATCAGGTTCTTCTTCCTTGATCCTAGTATCTACAGGACTGTCAGCATTCTCTCCTGGATGTAGCTGTATACCAGTAGAATCTATAGAGTTTACTGTAACTGTAGATTTGACAACTGACCAGTGCTTAGACTAACTGGAGTTGAAGTGAAGGCTCCACCTGCCACAAATTGACCAAGTGTGAGTGTTTGAACAGGTGTCAAAGTTAGTTGTTGGGCAGCAGTTTTCTGTATTTGCAAATTCTGCAAGCTCTGGACACCTTGTATTTGAAACATTTGCCAAGTTATCTGTCCAGAAGGGGTCACTGTCTGTGCCCGAATTAAAAAGTTTCCAGGATTCAGCTGCAACTGAAGATTTTGCGAAGCCTGTTGTGATATATTTTGACCATTGGCTTGCACACTATGGATTGTCTGTGGTGTAATACCTTGCACAATTTGGACTTCACTGGTTGGCGGCCGAGACTCTTGAAGTTGTAGATGTACAACAGGCTGTGCTGGAGAAATCTGAATATTCTGTGTCTGTGTCTCTTCAGAAACAGGTGACTGGATATAATTTCCCTGAAGATCTGAAGAATGAACTTGCCCACTAGAAGTAGTCAAGCTATTTGTGTTTTGTTGTAATATACCTATACTATGTATCCTAACAGCCAACTGTGATGAAGATGTTGGCACAAATAAATCTGTATCAGTATTAGTTTAATTAATATCAGGAGAAACTCTCTCACCAGTCTTTTCTGAATTGTCTGAACTATCCGTACCTTGTCCTGTGTTTATCAAATGTCCATAGGCATTAATGCCTGCAGTCACTGTCTGAGAACTGTCGGAGAGTCCCAAAGAATCTAGATCGACACTATTGATTGGTACAAACGTAATATTTCCTGGTAGACCAAGAGGCACATTAGCAACTACTTGGGTTGGACCAGCAAAAGATGAACCACCAATTGCAACTCCCTGAACCTGGACTTGACCAGTCCGTGGTAGGAGATTCTGGATGTTGGCAGGTGTTCCAGAGGCAAGTAAGGTTTGATTAGAGCCAGGAATGATCTGAATTTGACTGCCTTCTTCATTTATACCCCCATTATCTGAAAAGCCTGTGAAACCAGTTTGAACCTGCCGACCATCTGTTGATTGGACTACGTACCATTTGATGAATCTGATCCTGCTGCGTCTGAAAATGTTTGCTCATTCTGCAGATTCTGAAGGGGGAGAACATACTGCCTGCCCACTTGAAGTAGCAGCACCTGGAATCTGTACTAGATTACCAGCTTCATCTTTTATAGTTGTAGGTGTGGCTGACAAAACCTCCCATCAGTTTGGTGCTCCTCCTAACAGTGCAGAAGCCAAATCACCTGTCGCTCCAGCAGCGGCGGGTGCCCCGGCTCCGGCGGCCACCTCCTCCTTGTCGTCGCCGGGCGTTGGCGGCCCTATCTTGCTGCAGGTAGCGGCCAGCAGAGCAGGCGGTGACGGCTGAGTGTCCTACCCACGATGGGCGGGTTCAGAGAGGGAGACAAGGGGATGAGTGGCGGTTAGGGCTGGGCCGCCGCTCATACAGGAAGTGCGACTGGGTCCCCGTCGGCTGCGCCTGGGGGAACGCCGGCCGGCGCTCTCCTCCTCCTCGTCCCGCCACCGGCCCCGCCTGGCGTCCCCCGCTCGCAGGCACCCCGGCTCCCTTGTCCGCGGGCAGGTGGGCGCCGGCTACCCATCCCCGGGAGGACGCCTCTGTTATGTTTTCAATTAATTTAACAAACCAATATAGAAGAGAGAAAGAAAAATTATGTAAATGATTAATCATGAAATAATAGTAAACATTTGGGGATATTTATAAAACTGAACGGCTGGGCGCGGTGGCTCACGCCTGTAATCCCAGCACTTTGGGAGGCCGAGGAGGGCAGATCACGAGGTCAAGAGTTCGAGACCATCCTGGCCAACACTGTGAAACCTCGTCTCTTGTAAAAATACAAAAATTAGCTGGGCGTGGTGGCAGGTGCCTGTAATCCCAGCTACTCGGGAGGCTGAGGCAGGAGAATCGCTTGAACCCGGGAGGCGGAGTTTTCAGTGAGCTGAGATGGCGCCACTGCACTCCAGCCTGGCGACAGAACAAGACTTCGTCTAAAAAAAAAAAAAAAAAAAAAAAGCGTTGTATCATTTTTAAACTAAGGCAAATGATGGCTTTAATTTTCTCAAACATTAAAATTGCTAATGTGAGTTTTGGAGGAAGAATGTGTGTGTATATATATATATATATATTCTTTTTATATATTTATTTATTTTATATATATAATTAGTTGTAATATATACAAAATATTTTAAATTATTGCCAAAATAAATTAGTCAATGTATAATGGCCTATAGGAGGAAAATAAGTAATCATCGAACAATTTCTTAAAAAGTAATCCATTATTCATTACACTCTGAAGGTCATTTTTTAGAGTGAAATAAAAGAGAAGAAGTTGAACACATGTAACTCTTTTATGCAGGAATTATAAATTAAATTTGTTGACAAATTTGAGAAGATAATGTTTTCTGAATTATATTGTTATTTTCATTGAGAAATTAAATATATATAATTTAACTATAGCATCTTCTTTGAGGAAATTGGTTTTTTAGTTGTTTTAATTTGGAGAGTGGTAAAGATTATCATACCTTAATAAATATAATTTTTTTTTCACATTTGGCTCATATTAAACATTTCTATTAAGCTAAAATTGAGTATGAATTGGTTGTTAAGTAGTTAATATAAAAATGGATAAAAAGATACAATTTCCTCTCAGCTAACTGACATTCAGGCTTTTACATGTAAATTTTCTCATCAGGGTTACACAAGGATCTCAACATTGCCTGGTGCTCAGAAATTCTTGCAAGCCATTGTGGGCTTGAGGTATGGAATTCCTATGGAATACTAGGAATAAACAAAGATATTAAAACTACTACCAAAGAAGAGTGGCCACTCAGCATTTCTTTTTGAAATAGATTTGTAGTTCTGAATAATAAGTAGAGAAGAGTGAAAGATAAGAATTCTTTGCAACTTGATACCTTGCAATAGCATAAGTGAACTACTCATACAAGCCTCAGTTTTTCTTTTCATACATTACTACCATATCACAAAAATAGGATAGCAGTCAGCCCAAGAGTTTGACGAGGTGTAAACTTAACCTTTTTAATTGTTTTCATAGATATCACATGAGAGGCAGTATCTCACAACATGGGTTTTCAGCCAGACAGATGGGTTCAAAGCACCACTAGTAGGTAGTAACCACCTACTGGTTGCTGGAAAATATTGGCAAAGTTATTTTACATGCCTGTCATTTTCCAACTTATAAAATTAGGATACTCATATGTGAGGCGAAAGGTTAAGCTGCTGTACCAAAAAAAAAAAAATGGCAGAGATTAAATCAAAATTTATTTCTCTTGCATGTATCATTCTGTCTGATATTGATCAAATTATTAATCAGAACCATGTGTATCTTGAAAATGTCAGTGATTTGTTTCCATAAATAATAAAAAGTACAGGACAGGGAGGAATGGAGGAAAAAAGAAAGATGATAAAGTACACAAAAGAAATATTTATCTGCATGTTTCAAGGTAGTAAGATAAATGCTGCTTAATATTTTGTTTGGCAAAACAATAATGGCTATGATTCAAACATATTTTATGCATTCTTCCAGTAAGCTATGCTATTTGCCCAGTTACTAGAGATTGTCGATGATCACATTCTTACAGAACTTCACTTAACGAAAATAACAAGGCAGGTTATCATGAACATAAGCTGTCCGAACTTGTTAGTAGCATTGAAACTATGTATAATTTTCTTTATGAAAATTTAGATTTTAATGGAAAATTAGAGGAATAACAAGGAAAGCTATTTATTAAAGTGAGAGTTAATTAACATTATTAAATATTAATTAATATAACATTATATTAAACATTTTAACTTGCCGGTTGAACACTTAAAGCAAAATAAGCATAGAGGAAAAGCTTACACACATACAAAGACACAAATACACATGGAGATAGTCAACATCTGTAATTAAAAACAAACCACATTTTTAGATGTCTTATATTAATATAAATATGTGAAACTAATGTTTGTGCACTGCTCTTTTCAGATAATAGATTAGCATTTTGAAATATCTTAAAGTGATTGAAATGATAATTTATTTTATATATTAATGCCATTATTATTTAATGGGATTGAAATGATATTTTCTGAATTGATATACTATCCTTAATATGCAATGGAAATACTTTTAAAAGATTAGTTGAAAATACGAGTTGAAAAGCATGTATTCTATATTTACATAGAACTCCACCAAACCATAAATGAACAGTCAACGAATAGATGTTTCTGCATCCTTACTATGTGCTTGGAATTACATTTTACATTTTTTAAAATGTAAAAAATAATTTTACATAAAATAATATTCTAAATTTTTCAGAATATACATTTTGTTTTAATGCTGGCAATGTAATTTTTATCTAGTAGATGATTTATCTATGAATATTTCACAAAACCTACTTTTCAGAGTTTGTGTGGAGAACCAGCTGCCATGTGCGCTACTTTATTTTTATTTATTCATTTATTTTTTTTGAGACAGGTTCTCACTCTGTTGCCCAGGCTGGAGCACAGTGGTGCGATCATGGCTCACTGCAGACTCAACTTCCTAGGCTCAAATATCCTCCCACCTCAACCTCCCAAGGAGCTGGGACTACAGGGGCACAACACCACGCCTGGTTTTTTTTTTTTTTGGTAGAGATGAGGTTTTGCCATGTTGCCCAGGCTGGTCTCTAACCCCTGAGCTCAAACGATCCATCCACTTGGCCTCCCAAATGCTGGAATTACAGGCACGAGCCACTATGCCTTGCCTATGTGCACTATTTTAAATTTAAAAATTGACATAAAAGAGAATATTTTGTATTAACAGTTAACGAGATAAAATGCAAATGGATTTTTGTTTTACAGTATAATAATTGGCTCAAATTAGGAATATTAAAGTAAAAAAATGTTTTTGCAGTGCTATCACATCTTTTGTTTTAATGCATCTGTATATTCCGCTAGCACAGAGCTGATCCAAAACACAATATTGTATATGCTACTACATGGGCATTCATCTCAATTTCTCCTTCCTTACAATGCATAATTCTCAAAGTCAATAGCTGAAATATCAACTGGTGGTACAAACTTGTGAGTTTTGATGACTCAAGTTTATTGTTAAAAAACAGGTATTGGTGAGTGATGTGATTTGGATCTGTGTCCTTGCCAAATTTCATGTTAAAATGTAATCTGCAGTGTTGGAAGTGGGGCCTGGTGGGAGGTGTTTGGATTATGGAAGTGTATCCCTCATGAATGGCTAACCTCCAACCCCTTGGTGATGAGTGAGTTCACCTGAGATCCAGTTGTTTAAAAGTGTGTGGCACCTCCCTCACAACTCCCTGTTGCTCCTGCCTTTGCCAAGTGATGTGTAACCTCCCACTCTGCTTTCTTCCATGAGTAAAACCTTTCTGAGGCCTCCCCAGAACCCAAGCAGATGTCAGTGTCACGCTTCCTGTGCAACCTGCAGAAATGTGGGCCAGTTAAAACTCTTTGTAAATTACCCAGCCTCAGATATTTCTTTACAGCAATACAAGAGCAGCCTAACACAATGAGTTAGAAAGAAATAACAACACCAGATATATGATCTTAAGGATGAAAAGAACCAAACCAACATAGACATACAAACACATGCATATGTTGTGATACGTAGTAAATTTACGTAGAGAGTGTGCAAAGTATACTGACAAAAATAAGTTTTTTCCATTGTACCAGGAAAAAAAGTAACTTGGGGTAGTGGTTAAAGAAAGTTGGGCTAACAATTGTTCCAATACTTTTTGAAAAATGTAATATACTTTTTAACAATGTAATATAAATGTAAAAAATATCTCCACAGACAAATCCAATATACAATAAACTTTGCAAATGATTTTTGGGAGAACACAATTCCCATTAAATTGATCTATAAGAACTCCAAGTGTCCATATGCCAGTTAAGCACAAATACCCATCATGAATTGTTTTCAATAAACAGTTTTGCGTTTAAACTAGTTGAATTTATAATTTATTAAACAAAGTAGAACAGATATACATATAAAATAATATTTTGTTGTGTTAGTCCATTTTCATGCTCCTGATAAAGACGTACCCAGGACTGGGCAATTTACAAATGAAAGAGGTTTAATTGGACTTACAGTTCCACGTGGCTGGGGAAGCCTCACAACCATGGGAGAAGACAAGGAGGAGCAAATCGTATCTTACATGGATGGCAGTAGGCGAAGAGTGAGATTGGGCAGGAAAACTTCCGTTTTTACAACCATCAGATCTTGTGAGTCTCATTCAGTATCATAAGAGCAGTGCAGGAAAGACCTGCCCTCGTAATTCAATCATTTCCCACTGGGTTCCTCCCATAGTATGTGGTAATTGTAGGAGCTACAATTCAAGGTGATATATGGGTGGGGACACGGCCAAACCATATCATCTAGGTAAGGAATTATCAGATCTATGTATTACTTGTCAAATGTCTATAGATACAGTTGTCATTAACAAAAATAATATAAAATGTTAATTGATAAAAACTTTGTGCACATATCGTTTTTATGTATGCTAAAACTTATGAAACTGCTGCAAGAATGGCACTAGAGATCCTGAATACTATTTACTCAGATTTACCAATTGTTAACATTTTTCCTATTTGCTTTATCATTCTCTCAATTTGTCTCCCTCTCTCTTTGAGGTAATATCTATATATTGTGTACATATATGGGTACACATATATATGCTTTTTTAATTAAGAAATTTAACATTGATATAATAATTTCTTCTACTCCAGATAAAATAATCACATTTCATGTATTATCTGTATAATGACCCAAATTACTGTTTTATTTATGTAGGATCACGCAAAGCAAGGTCACACAAAACATTTAGTTTCCATGTCTCTTCAGTCTACTATCATCTGAAACGATTATCTGACCTTTTTCGTTTAATCTTATTTTGTCCATTGTTAGCCTTTTTCATGGTTGAAAAATACAAATCAGTATTGTTTAAAACGTTTTTCAAATTGGATTTATTATATTCATTTTTGTACTTTTGCAATAAATGCCACAAAAGCAATGCTGTATTTTTTTACATCGTGTCACACAATATTTGTTTTACATAATATTTAGTCATAGTAGTTTTAACCTCTTGCTTAGGACAGTGTCTCCAATTTTTCTGTTCTGTAAAATGATCACTCTTCTGCTTATAATTTTTAAGTAATTTATAACAATAATTTGAGGCTATGTAAATTTTCCATTTCTCTTCAAATTTTCATCCACTAGTTTTAGCAGCCATGGATGAATTTTAACTCCAATTATTTATTCTATATTTATTATATGTCATTATTCTGTTAAAAAGAGTTTTCCATTATTCCTCATTTATTTATTCATTTACTTATTTCATCATTTTGGACTACAGACTTTTGATATTGAAAAGCTATTGATAGGTAATAATCTATCAATACCTTTCTTAAGATTGATGCTCAAATTGTTCCCAAATTTCTCAGCAGAAGTCCCTTCTAAAGTCCTCTTTGTTCATTTGATATGCTACCGTCATTCTTTGAACATGTCCATACTTCCTGCAACAAAAATATATTCCCTGCCCAATGCCAAAATAAAATTCTTCTCCAAGAGGGATGACAAATAATCGGAATATACATTGCTTCATCAATGCATTATTAAAACTATAACTTCTAACATGTAGATATTAGTTGCTTTTATAACATTTATGAAAAAGAGTTCCATTGTATATAACTTCAAATTTAATTATTATTTTAACGTGTATTTTTTATTTCAAATAAGTCAATTGAAATATTTCAGAAAAATCTCTACAAAATAAAATGAATAACAGAAGATGTTTATATATCAAATGCATAGCTAAACATTTCATATATAAGCTTGTTCTTATTAAGTGATCAATGAATACTCCAATGTTTACATGATATTTTGATGATGTTTTGGTTGCAAGTATCTTGATGACTGTTAAGGTTAGCACATTTATGAAGAACGAGTGATGCTCAAGTCATACTGTATATGAAGTTTATTTTCCACAGTGTTTTAGTCTGTCATATATCAAACAACAAACTTGTATTTATTTAGTATTCAAGAATCATTTTGTGTATTTTGTTATGTCAGGGACTAGGAACATAATGTGAAATTGAGCAGGGAGAATAAAAAATTAAGAGTATCCAATTGTATTTGGTGAGAGATTAAAAGAAAGTTGTTGTCTCATGAAGGCATAAGAGTTAAAATATGCTCACACACAGCCCAGCATAAGCTCTATTTTAAATACCTATAACTTTCAGAGCACCTGTCTCTCCATCCATTCTGAAGCAAGTGATTAAACCCTAAGCATATTTCTCAGAAACAGCTGTAAAATATGGAAGAGCTCTGAGGAAAGTACAAATACCATTTACATTTTGATGTCTAAAGAGAGACACTTTGTCAGTTTGCAAAATTAGAGGTGAAATATAGGCATGAAGCCAAAATCTCTATCACTGTAAAGACTCATGCGTATTATACAATATGTCATATCAGATTGAAGTAACAGCATTAAATAGTCTCAGCTAATAAAAGTTGTTCATTTTACTTAGATATTTTAGCATACTTTGGTAAATATCTCTGCTATGATGTCCATGTATATTTAGTAAACATTATACTAATTAAAACATCTAATATTGAGATAATGAAGCAGATACTAGCACACCTTATAAATTTACTGATCTCTTAATTTTGTTCCTATTCCTTTATTTCATTCCTTCCCACAGTTTGGTGACTATTTGTGCCTCTTTTAAATGTCATTTACTGCTGAGATGCCATGGTTACCGCAAACATTCTCAAAACCTTTATATAATTATGCAAATTCATAATTATATTATTATACTTAAAACTAATTAAACAAAAAGTAGGTTGCCAATGTAATGTCAGATGTATACATATAAATTTCTCAAAAAATTATAGAAAAAATATAAAAACTCTCTGATGAGTTAAATATGCTCAAACAAGTATTTTGTGATATGAAAAAAATGTAGATCAACAACTCAAACACTAAGAAAAGAAATAGAAAAAGAAGAGTAAGAAATAAAATTAAAGACAAAATTTTTAAAAAGATTAATTTTGAAAAAATATTTGGTATAAGAATTAAATATTCAATTACAAGGTAACCTAGGAGATTATATAACCAAAAAAAAAAAAACACCTAAATCTTAGGGACAATGGAGAAAAGCAGGGAAGCAACTATGCAAATAAGATAGAAAAACAAGTAAATGTGTTTTGAGCAAGTATAGATGAAGGCAGTCAGAAAAAGAGCCAATATGTATATAACATAACTTCCTGAAAAAAGATAAAATACATGACATAAATATTAGTTGACACCCTAATCCACGAAAACACCACATTGATTAAAAAGTGAAGAGGAAAATTAAGACAAGAACGCAGATAAAGAAGGGGGAGAAAGAGGAGGAGGTAACAAAAGATAAGGAGGAGGAAGAAGAAGAAGACCTGAGTTAACAAATTAATTAGTCCACTGGGTACCTGAGAAAATTGTTTCACAACAATCAATTTGAAATACATTTTAGTCAAACTACTAGAAAGTCAAAGCAACAAAAACAAAGAACTACTAAGCTACTAAAAACAAAACAAAAAGAAAAAACCTTAGGTATCCGAAGAAAAAAAATCCAGTAACATAAAAAGACAAGATATTTGACTATCACAGTTCTCAAACGCATACAAATGAAAAGAGCCATGTCATTGCATTTTCAACAATTTCAAAGAAAGAAACTCTGAACTAATAATAGCCTAAAATAAAGGAAGGGATGGGGTGAAAGAATAACATGTAAATATTTTATGGTCCGAAATAAATAGAAATAACACTAAAAATGGCAGAAGAATGAAGAGGAAAAGAGGAAAGGGGAATAAGTTGATTAACACTCTTCTATAGGCAGTATGTAGATTCCAGCAAAACCTGAAATAACAGATATAAAATCCTAAGTGAAATATAGAAAAATGAGAACACTACAAAATGTCCTAAATTCAAAGTTAACTACCATGAAAAAAATACAGAACTTTCTAAAATAGTAAATAAAATAAAAAGACAAGAAACCAACTCCATAGAAACAGAGGAAATATTATATAGAAAAAGAAACAGAGGTAATATTATATAAAATACAGTAACTGTGATAAAAAGTAATATGACAGAGTTGAGAGTTGAGACATTAGAAGTCATATTTTAATTCATCTTTTAAAAATGAATTTCTATTTGGTTTACAAAGCATTACTCAAATATAAACAATATACAAGAGGCACACTTAAAATAATTTAAAGAGGCTTAAAAAAATAAAGACAGACAATAATAAACTATCTAACACTATGAAAAGAAACAATTCCTCTCTCCGGGCGGAGATTGAGAGAGGGATCTAGGGAACCAAGGCTACCAGAAATGCCACATGAAAACAAGTCAGGAAACAGCAACTACAAATGTTTAAAACTCACCATATCTCATTGACTCTGATCCACCTGTGTGCAGGAAACTGAAAGCACGTAGGAGCTAAGAATAAAGAACAGTCTAGTAATATGAACCAGTGCCTGCCTCAAGTGTGGCAGGCTGAAAATTGAATTTAATCAAATTAAATGGGTGCTGAATCAAAAATGTCAACAGTATTTTAGAAAGTTCCTACAGAGTACAGAGTTTACACAAAATAATATTTACAGTTTCTAGATAAAACTCAAAATTGAAACCTGAAAAATGTGACTTATGATCAAGGGAAAAAAATCAATAGAAGACAACCACAAAATTATGCATTATACCCATTACATGGAACTATTAGGAATTTTAAAGCAGCTACTATTTCTATACTCAGTGAGGTGAAGAAATATACTTTCACACTAAGTAAAGAGAAAGAATGATTGAGCAAACAGAGACACTTATAAAATGAAACAAAAAAGAGAAGCAAAACAGTTTAAAAATGAAATTCTACACCAAAAAATAAAATACTTGAAATTAAAAAAAATCACTGGGCATGCTTAGTAGTAGAACGGATATGACGGAAGAAAGTTAACTTCCAGATAAGTCAACAGAAAACATCCAATATAAAGAAAACGGAGAATCATGATTGAAGAAAAATAATTAACAGAACCTCAAAGATAGATGAAATAATTTCAAAATATCTAACATCCATGGAATTTGAGTTTCAGAGGGGAAGAAAGAGAATGGGGCAGAAAAAAAAAACACATGTAAGGAATAATAGCTGAAATGTTTCCATATTTAGTGAGGGACTTATATTTATAGATTCAAGAATCTTAGGGAATCTGAAACAGGGTAAATTCAGACGTAAGTGTGGTCAGGTGTATGATAGCCCACAGGCTTCAAACCAAAGCTTAAGAGTTTATCTTGAAAGAAACAAGATAAGAATAAATAATGTGATTTCCCTGGACTCTTCACACGCCTTCCTCAAGCTAGCAATATGAAAATGTTTTTCTTGATATTTAATGTTCAAAGTAAATGAAATTTAAAAAGAATAACTTCACAAATGCTATGAAGCTACCATATACACCCGCTTTTACTCAGGAAAGGATTCAGAGGATACAAATTGAATAGAAGAATATTATTATATGATATTTCTGTGGATTAGGGGCAAATTCTAGTTTTTCCCATTCTTTAAAACTCAAAATATTTAAGAAGGGAGAGATGGGAGCATTTTCTATATTCAACGTAATTCCTGGCATAGATTCTTAAATTATGAAAGATGGGACTTTAGCAAGTAGTTATTGAAATGCATATGAGGGTAGAAATATGTCTTTGGGATTTGGAAAGACTGAGAGATTGAGAATACAGCTCTAAGTAACTCAAAAGAAGGATTTTAAGCTTTTGCAGTATTGTCATTTTCTGTGAGATAAAAGAGGGGTGATTGGAGATGATGAAAAAAAGAATATAGAGATAGTCATGTTGGGAGACAGACTTTTATTGTTACTACATTCACTAATATTAGTAAAATTATTTTAATAATATTTCCCTCTAATTATCATTCTCCCCTAGTGACAAGCAGCTTAAAGTAAGGTAAAGTTGGGTTAAACCTTGAACAATAAATTTTTACACATTTTTAAAGTAATTAATGTTTTACTATTACTTGCTATTTCATAACAAATATAGCATCATTGTTATAGTTCTATATTTATTCTAAGTAGTGGTAGAACTTTTTTTGGTAAATCTACAATATAATACTCAGGCATAAGTTTAACTTATATTTAATTTCAATAATTATAATAATTTAGTAACTTTAACATTTATAAAATGAACTGGCAAATGTTCAGGTCCATATTTAGAATTTTTAATTTTGGGCTTTTTGTTTAAAACATAAAATAGACTTATCTCTCATGCTGATATTTCAGAGTTTTTTTTTTTTTTTTTTTTTCTTTTGAGACGGAGTCCCTCTCTGTAGCCCAGGCTGGAGGGCAGTGGCGAGATCTCTGCTCACTGCAAGCTCCGCCTCCCGGGTTCACTCCATTCTCCTGCCTCAGCCTCCTGCGTAGCTGGGACTAGAGGCACCCGCCACCACACCCGGCTAATTTTTTGTATTTTTAGTAGACACGGGGTTTCACCGTGTTAGCCAGGATAGTCTCGAACTCCTGATCTCGTGATCCGCCCGCCTCGGCTTCCCAAAGTGCTAGGATTACAAACGTGAGTCACTGCCCACGGCCAATATTTCAGTTTTATTATCAGCTGTCTTTGATTTGAATAATTTAATCGATTTTCAATTATTTAGATTTAACATGAAATTTCAGCTTTATTTTTCTTCTAAAATTACGTAAGTATACTAAATTTTCCTGCACTTCTGTGACATCAATATTTCTTCATTTAACTTTATAAATAGAATAGTTGGTCCAATGGTCAGTTATCATATTGATCAATTTTGTTGTATTTTAGAACTTTTATCCATTAATTGCATAGCCAATTTGCCACCCACGCAAAATTTAGATTTTATGCTATTATATTTGATCCATTACTCTACTGCCAGTGTAATAAAACTGGGTTGAATTCTACTTTTTTAGATATGTACATATAACTTTCAATTAAGTCAAGCCAATATTTATAATATCAAAGAGCATTGCCAGATCTAAACTTTGCTCATTGAATTTGCCCTAATAAAATATTAAGTGAAATGTGGTAACATTAAAACTGATTTCATGGTGACCAGGAATAAACTCTTTTTTAAAAAAGTATGCAAACACATACACACACACATATAATTTATTATATATATTTAAATATTATATATATAATTATATGTAAACCTTTTAGAAAATAAAGCATGTTCTACTTAAACCATTTTTTTTTAACGTGGTTTGGCATGACCCAGTTCACAGAGCTTCTTGGACCTGGGCATCATTGCAATATCAGATGTGATTTAAAGCCTCAAAACAACATTGTGAACTTAGAAATACATGCCTTGAAGTTTCATATTATTAAATACTGTTGTATTTAATTTTATTTTACATTGGGGTAATCAGTTATTCAAATGGAATGTAGTCTAAGCTAATGTTTTTTGAATGCTTCTGAACTTAAAGTAGTCACAAGGATTTCTCAGGGAACAATTTTAAATTTTCAGAATAAAACTTCCCAAAACACTGCTGAACATTACCTTTGGTTCAGTTAAAAGAAGAACATATATAAAGCTAAAATCAAGCCTAGGAAGGAAAGAGAAGATCCAAATTATTCCAATGTTATATTCTTTTCTGCTCTAGCATGTTATTCTGAAGTTGTAGGCGGCCACTGTAGATTATACACTCATTCCAATGGCCTACCCTAAAGGTTAGAGCAGGAAAAAAAGCATCCAGTAACTTAGGAGCTTGCCTTTTGTTACTTTAGAAGGCCACTGCTACAATTCAGAGAGGTCCTTAGAGAATGAGAACTTTCTCTGACAGCATTTTTGCCCAGTATCAAATTCACTTTGAGGAAAAATTGCCACTCTACAGTTGATCAGGGGTCACATGTGGAAACAGAGACCACAGAGCATCATGATCATTCCCCACAGGTGAAGGTCCAGCTTGAGTGCAAATGGCAATGGTAACAAGACAAAGAGCTTCCCACTAAAATTCCATCAGGAAAGCTATTACAGTGTTTGGCTTTATGGATTCTGTCAAACAGAAATGACTTCAGCTGCTGCATACCGCTAGCTGTAACCCCTGCCAAGTTCTGTATAGAGGCCAGTAGAACAGCTTGTTGAAATTTCCGGAGAGGCTGACTCAGGGGAAAAAGAATAGTAGTATCATGTAATGTTCATCTAAGCTGCATCATGACTTTCAGAGAATCCAGTATAGTCTGTATTTATCTCCCAGTATAAAACCAATCTGAGAAATACCCAACTGTATAGTTCTCCCAGGCATATGGCTTGATATAGCTTCATGATCTTGTAAAACCTGCCTAGTAAGTAAATATTTAAATTTAAAAAGAAATGGTTTTAACTGGGATAAGTTGTGAGGATTTTCCCCCCATTTAATTAGCAGTTATTCTTTCAGAAAAAATAGAAAGTAGTCACTTAGGCTCTTTGTGTGAAATTTGGGAAAAAAGTTCCTTGTTAATTTGAAATAGATACAAGAGCATTGCAAGTTCTATCAGAATTGAACATAAAGGGATTAATATTTAAGCGTTCCTTAAACAAATCAATAAAGTAACAGCTGAGTATAAATTTACAGGAAAGAAGTAAGCCATCAGTCGTATAAGTAATTTATCATCTCAAACACAAGATGTTGACTGTTTAAAATGGGCATTTATCCAAATATCCATTTTTGAAATATTGTTCTTGAAACTTTTTTTAGGCCATTAGAGAAGAGGCAGTTTAAATTTTGTTAAGATTATCAGAGAATACATGACTATGTAGCTCAATGAATTAAATAAATTAAATAAAATGTATTTTCTGAAACTTACTATGTCTTTGTCCTTGATTTTATCTTCAAATTGCAAATCTTTACGAAGTGAACACAATTAAATCTCATCCTGTACTAAAGAAAAGTAATATAATTCTATTCCATTTTACCAAGAAGCCCAAATACTCTTATTTTACAGGCTTGTATTATATTAGCCAATATAATCAAAAGTAGGAAAATAAATTATACAGTTTCTTTAAAAAGTCCTGATAAAAGCTCACCATCTTCTCAAGAAAGTTTTGAGGCCAGTTAAAAAAAAAAGTATAAAAATCCAACTACCCTTTACTACTGCTATGGAGTTCTTTAAATAAAAGTAGCAAATATAAATTTAATTAACACTGTATGATTTAAAGCACTCTATAAGGAAAGCTGTTCACCAAAGCTAAACTTCTTTCTTTATATTTGAAACAACAGACAAATATATTAACATGTTTCTAGGAGATAATGAAATAGATCTTTTTGTTGTAAGAATATATCAATTCATGTGTCTTTTGACATTGTAAGAGAAAATATAAAAAGAAAAAGTCTTCATTATCTATATTTCCGTTATATGTTATTGATATTTGTATCAATTGAGGCTTATGCTATAAAAATTCAGGGTGTAGCTTTACATTCCATCAGACTGAAATGGAGCAGTTATTATAGAAAGCTAGGACAGATATTAGTTCACTGGCTTTCAATGCACTTTAAGAGAATAATGTACCAATAATAATAACTGCTGGGTACTTGACATAGGAATTAAAAATGTATTTTCCAAATTATTTAAAAAGTGAAATATAAAAAAGTACATTAAGGACAACTGCAGTTAGGCTTTTACTTAAGAAAGAATTGGCTCTGTAACCTTCCTGTAGTTAGATATGTCTTTCAGGTCTCTCTGGGTCAGAAATGAATCTATAGCTTTGTGTGACTGTTGATCCATGGTAATCTTTCACATCTTTTTGTATCAAGGGGAAATAAAAAATAAATTAAGGAGTGTTAGGGCTATGTGGCCAAATCTATGCCTCCAGCTTACCTGATAGAACCAATGAGGGACATTTGATTCAGAGTCAAGATGTAAAATTCCTCATTCTTTAGTATTTGTACTGAGACATAGCAATGACTGCTGATAGAAAATGACTATTCAAGGGAAACAATGATTATGTAAAGTCAGGATAAGGGACAATATTGGGCAATATACAAGGCTAATGAAGATAGAAAAAAAATAAGAGAAACCACTTAGACACTGAAAGTTGGAGTCACTTAGTTCCTACTTTCCAGTTCTAATCTCTGAGACCTGTACTTTGAAGTTCAGGAGATGAGTTTTCATATACATCAAATCTTTCTTTTTCTGAGAAAGATTTCAGTGGATTTCCATTTATATCAACCAACATAATCAACTAGAATATTCTGTAATATATTTTTCTAATTTTATAAATTAAATTATTTTAGTTAATAAATCACAATACCATTTCAACTAAATCTGAACATGAAAATTACAAAAATTTTGGACACACAATAAAAAAGTTTAGTTCTTTTCAGGTTAACAATTGAGCCCATTGTTTTATATTTTAAAAGTTCCCCCACTGAAAAAGTGTCTGGAGGTTAAAAGAAAAATATTGACTTTATTATTTGAATGTGTAACTAAGATAATGTTTAAAAATAAGCTTATCATATTGTCTTTGTAAGCTCCTGCAGCTATAACAAAGTAACTATAGACTAGGTGGCTTATGAACAACAGAAATTTATTTCTTACATTCTGGAGGCTGGAAGTTGGAAATCAGGGCACCAGCATGGTCATGATCTAGTAAGGACCTTCTTCCAAGATGCCAACTGGTGCATTCTTGTTGTGCCCTCACAAGGCCAAAAACAACAACAACAACAACAACAAAAAAAAAACCAAAAGAACAAAAAAAAGAGCTAGAGAGAACTCTGGGCCCTGTTGTATGAGAACACTAATCCCATTCATGAGAGCTCCACACTCATGATCTAATTACCTCCCAAATGCCCTACCTCCTAATACCATCACAACAGTAGTTAGGATTTCAACCAGTGAATTTGGCAGAAACCTATTTAGTCCATTGTGGGTTATTCTTGACTTTACAAAAACTCAGCCATTTTGTTCATTTATGAGTTGACTAATGATAGTGACAGGACACAGACAAATTCCTAGGCAGACAGGGACAGGTCCAGAAACTTGACCTTTAGGCCAAAGACGAAAGCCTGAAAGCCAATCTGCTAGTTTCAGATAAAGTCCATGACCAGAGTGAGAACTTTTATACTTGTCTTAATCACTCTCTCTCAGATGGTTCCTTCTGAATGATGTCTTTTAACCAGTTAAATGTTGCCTTATCCAAGCCCACCCATGGACCAATCAGCACACATTCCCCCATCCCAAGCCCATCAAAATCCTGCACTCAGCCTCACAGACGACAACCCACTTTTGGGCCCCCTCTTGCTGCTGAGAGCTTTCTTTCTGTCACTCAATAAAATTCTACTTTGCCTTACTCACTCTCTGGTGTCCACCTACCTTATTCCTCTTGGTTGCAGGACAAGAACCTGGAACTTGCCAAACTACAGGAGTAAAAGAGCTGTAATGCTCTCACTCATTGAACTGCAGGCGGTGGGAGTAAAAGAGCTGTAACACTCTTTTCCACTCACCAAGCTACAGGAGTGAAGAAACTGCTGGGCACCAGTCCCTCCCACTTGCCAAATTACGGAAACGAAAAAGCCTCAACACTAACGTTCTATGCTTAGCAGACTATGGATACTTTGTGGAAAACAGATCACATCAAAATGAAGACATTTTATTGAATTTAGCATTTAGATTTTAAAGAAAACCTAAGACTATAATCTACCTTGCAATTCCTTTAATTATTGACTCTATCACGAATAATATGACTTAATTTGAGTGTGCATTTTAAACTTCCTCTGAATTTCTTAGCAAAGAATTTTAGTGCAAAATGCACACTAAAAGTCAACTGTTGTGTGAAACAACAAAGACAACCAACAACATAAATAAAATACTTCCATATCCATAATTAATAATAAATGAGACCAAAAAATTCCAGGCAAATTGTGAAGACACTGCTGCTTGTGAAAGCCTTACTCCATTAATGTTCCTCTCTTTTTCTGTCTCCATCTTTTGTGTATGTGAAGAAAGAATCTAAAAGAATCTGGTAGAAGGAAAATTTGCACGAATATTCAACTTCTCATCTTTCTTTGAGAAGATTTGTATTTAAACCTTTTCATCTAGATTTGAGTAAAGAACAATGCTGCATTGCTAAGTGGGAAGGGCATGATTAGTTAGTGCCGTTCCAAGTCAAGAAAGATATTCTCCACTGTCATCTACAAAGTTAAGCCAACCTCAGTCCTCCACCCACATCCACATTAATCCCTCTTTTTCGTTTTGTGTACTCATCCTCTGGTTTCTAAGTATTTTACTACTAATTGTCTCTATTCTTCTCTCTGGATTACCCATTAACTACTAACCTGCTGTGCCTGCAAGTGCAATAAGCAGGAAGTACCTGAGGTTGGGACTTTGCCAAACCACAAATTTGCTCAGCTATTTCTCATTTTCTGTCCTATTTCCTTCACCTCCTTATCAGTTTTGCCTCCAGCAGTTTCTTAAGAAGTCCTTTAAAGGCAAATTCTTATTTGGGACATGATTGTGGAGAACTCAACCTAAGAGGCTTCTTCATTTCGCAAGCAATCATGGGCACACGCATGCATGCATGCACACACATAGCAATACAATGTGATATAGTTTGAATATGTGCCCCTGACAAATCTCATGTTGCATTGTAATTTCTAATGTTAGAGGTGGGGCCTGGAGGGAGGTGTTTGGGTCATGAGGGCAGATTTCCCACGGCTTGGTGCTGTCCTCGTGATAGTGAGTTCTTTCAAGATCCGGTTGTTTAGAAGAGTGTGACATCTTCCCCTCCCTTGATTCCACTCTCTATGTGTGAGATGCCAGCTCCTCCTTCACCTTTTGCCATGATTGTAAGCAGTCGAAGCCCTCACCAGAAGCTGAGTACATGCCGGAGCTATGCTACCTGTGTAGCCTTCAGAACTGTGATGCAATTAAACCATTTTTTTAAAATAAATTACCCAGCTTTAGGTATTTCTTCAAAGCAATGCATAGCAGAGTCTAATACACAATTCTAAGAGTAAATGTACAGCAATATACTTATGACAAAGCCATTTTCTGAAAATTTGTATTGATTTATTTTAGCAATAATTCTTTCTAGGTGAAGCAATATTTCCAAGGCACTTTTACTAGTATTATTTCATTTGATTTAAGAAAAAGGAAAGAAAATATGTTAATTTAAGGATTAGAAACCTCAGGTATTAGCTGGTTGTAGGACAAGTTCATTTGACTCTACATTTTACAGCCTGAGACTAGGCATTATTAATTGAAAATTCAGTAAGTATAGTTATGACTGGTAAGTAGAAAAGTGAATGTGTCTTTCCTTATTGACAATGGAGCTAGTGCAAAATTTAGTAAATGATAAGCACTGTATAGATGGAATAATTAGAAGAGAGAGTCAGATTTTGTTTGTTTGCTTTTTTGGTTTGGTTTGTTATTTGTAAGACATCTTTTTAAATACATGTGGTTATGGATCAAATTCTGTCCCCTCAACATTCATATGCTGAAGACCTAAGCCCCAATACAACTGTATTTGGAGACGGAACTAATAAACAGATAATTCTTAAGTTGGTGCAAACATAACTGTGGTTTTGTCATTACTTTTAATGGCCAAAACCACAGTTATTTTGCAACAACCTAATAGGTTTAAGTGGTGTCATAAGGGTGAAATTCTAAATTAATATCACTGATACCACTTTAAGACGATCAAGAAACACCAGGGCTGCTCTCACACAGAGGAAAGGCACTGTAAGAACACAGCAAGCAGGCGGACATATGCAAGCCAAGGAAAGAGGTCCTAAGAGAAACCTAACCTGAAGACATTTGTGATCTTGGATACTCAGCATCCAGAACTGTGATAAAATAAATGTCTGTTGTATAAGCCACCTGATCTGTGGTATTTTGTTTTAACAGGTTTAGCAGACTAATATGCACTGAAGCACCTCAAAAAAGATTTGGTTCATAGAATATTGGATTTGGAACACTCTGCTAATTATTAAATCTTGCTGATTAATATAATATAATCAGATGAATAACAGGGAAGAGTTTATATAAGCTGATTTCATAGGTCTAGCGTGAGATCTAGGAATCTGTATGTTATCTATACAGCCAAGATGAATTAGTATCAGGAAGCACTGTATTAGCCTCTCTTTGCCACAGCCCTAGTCCTCTATTTCTTTCTTGCTTTCTGGACAAAGTGCAAGCTTCTGTTACTAAGTCATCACTTCCATTCTTTCCCTTTTAAACTTTATGGAAATGTATGCTTTAGACCAAGGTAGTTCAGTAGAAATATTAAACAAGGAACAGTTATAGTTTAGCACACTATAGTGGCCATATTTAAAAGAAGCACAAATAAACATGCAAAATTAATTGTATAATATATTTTAAGTAGCAAATAAATATAAGATTTTTCTTTTAATTTACTTATTTACCTATTTTTATTTTTTTAATCGACAAATATTATGCATATTTATGGGGTACAATGTGATGTTTGGATCTATGTATACACTGTAGAAAGATTCACTTAAGCTAACTAACATATCTGTCACTCCATCAAATTATTTTTATGTGGTGAGAAAGTAAAAAATATATTCTTTTTGCAATTTTGAAATATACAAACCATTATTATTAATGGTGGTCACCATGCAGTGCAGTAGATCAGTAGAACTTATTCCTCCAGTATAACTGAAACTTTGCACCCTCTGAACAATATATCCCCTTTCCCCATTTCTTCCCCTGCCCCACCCCAACCTCTGGTAACCATCTTTCTACTCTTTGGTTTTATGAGGTTGACTTTTTTTTAGATTCCACATGTAAGTAAAATCATATGGTAATTGTCTTTCTGTGCCTGGCATATTTCATTTAATTTAATGTCTTCCAGTTTTATCTATATTGTTCCGAATGACAGATTTTCTTATATTTTAAGACTATATAGAATTTTATCGTGTATATGTATATATATAATATATCATTTTTTTCATTCATTTATTCATTGCCAGACATGAATAAATGAAAGAAATGAAGGGCAGTCTGGTGGGTTCCATGTCTTCATGTTGTGAATAATGCTAAAATAAACATGAGAGTACACACACATATATATATATATATATTTATTTATTTATTTATTTATTTATTTATTTTTTGAGAAAAGGTCTCACTCACTCTTTTGCCCAGGCTGGAGAGCAGTGGCATGATCACAGCTCACAGCAAACTCAAACTCGTGGGCTCAAGTGATCTTCCTACAACAGCTTCTCAAGCATCTGGGACTCCAGTCACGCACCGCCACACTTGGCTAGAGAGTGCAGATTTCTCTTCAACATACTGACTTCAGTTCATTTGAATATATATCTAGAAGTGTAATTGCTGAATCATATAGTAATTCTATTTCTAGTTTTTTGAAGAACTTCTATGCTATTTCCCAAAATAAATTAATTTTCATTCCCACCAACTGTATACAAAAGTTCTCTTTCTCCACATCCTCACCAATGTGTCACTATTCCTTTTTTATCATAGCCATTCTAACAGGTATGAGGCAATATTTCATTTTGTTTTTAATTTATATTTGCTTTATGATTAGAAGTGTCGAGGATTTTTCAAGTATCCATTGGCTATTCACATCTCCTCTTCTGAGAAATGTCTGTTCAGATCCTTTGCCCATTTTTAATAGGGTTATTTGTTTTCTTTCTACTCAGTTGAAATTTCTTGTACATTTTGGATATTAGCTCATTAACAGAATCATCGTTTGTCAATATTTTCTCCCTATCTGTAGGTTGTCTCTTCAGTCTTTTGTTTCCTTTTCCGTGCAGAAGCTTTTTGGTTTGATGCACTCTTATTTGTTTATTTTTGCTTTTGTTGCCTCTACTTTTGGAGTTCTATTCAAGAAATCATCGCCCAGACCAATGTTGTGAACTTTTCCTCTATGTTTCCTACTACTAGCTTTATAGTTTCAAGTATTACATTTAAGTGTTTTCTTAGTCAATTTGTGTTGCTGTAAATGAAAGTGGGTAATTTATAAACAAAAGGTGTTTATTTGGCTCATAGTTCTGCAGGCTGTACAAGAAGAATGGCACCAGCATCTGCTCCTGGTGAGAATTTCAGGCTGCTTCCACTTGGCAGAAGGCAAAGGGGAGCCAAAGTATGCAGAGTTCTTATGGTAAAAGAGCTGGCAAGAGAGCAAGGGCAGAGCTGCGAGGCTTTTTTTAACAACTGGCTCTCACAGGAGCTAAAAGAGCAAGAACTCATTCATTATCAAGAGGACTGCACCAAGCCATTCATGAGGGATCCATCTCCATGATCCAAATACATTCCATTAGGTCCCACTTCCAAAATTGGGGATCAAATTTCTTTTTAAAAATAATTTGTGTTAGTGAAGGCAACATGCTATTAAAAAAAATAAAATGTACCATCTTTGCCATTTTTAAGTGTACAGTTCAGTGGTAATAAATAGGTCAAATTTCAATATGAGGTTTAAGGAGGATAAACATCCAAACTATCACAAGTATTTTATCCATTTTTATTTGATTTTTGTCTATGGCATAAGATAAAGGTCCCGGCTGGGCAAGGTGGCTCACGCCTGTAATCCCAGCACTTTGGGAGGCCAAGGTGGACAGATCCAGTGAGGTTAGGAGTTCAAGACCAGCCTGGCCAACATGGTGAAACCCTGTCTCCACTACACACACACACACACACACACACACACACACACACAGACAAATTAGGTGAGCATGGTTGCGGGTGCCTGTAATCCCAGCTACTCAGGAGGCTGAGGTAGGAGAATCTCTTGGATCTGGGAGGTGGAGGTTGCAATGAGCCAAGATCATACCATTGCACTGCAGCGTGGGTAACAAAGTGAGACTTTGTTTCAAAAAAAAAAAAAAAAGATAAAGGTCCAATTATTTTTCATGTGCATATCCAGTTTTCCCAACATCACTTATTGAAGAGACTGTCATTTTGCCAGTGAGAGTTTCTGACACCTTTGTTGAAAATCAATTGATAGAAGATAACTAGGTTTATTTCTGGGCTTTCTATTCCATTTCATTGGTTGAAATGTCTCTTGTTAATGCTAGTACCATGCTGTTTCTATTACATTAGCTTTATAATACATTTTGACATCAGGGAATGTGATACCTCCAGCTTTCTTCTTTTTGCTCAAGATTGCTTTCGCTACTTGGGGTCTTTTCTGGTTCCATACAAACTGTAGGATGGTTTTTTCTATTTCTGTGTAAAATTACATTGGATTTTGTTAGGGACCACAGTTAATATATAGATCATTTTGGCTTACATGAATATTCAGCAATATTAGTTATTTAATTAATTATTCAGGTCTCTGTCCTTCACATCAGCTTCTTCATGTGACATTGAAACTGGTTTCTCTCAGGGCAAGCAACTCAAGAAAATTTAAGAGTGCCAAAGACAGAATCCACAGTCTTTTGATAATCTAATCTTAAGAGTGACATTCATCATTTCTGCCTTATTTTATTTATTAGACAGAGGTATAGAATTCAGGGCTCTCAAGGGCATGAATACTAGGAGGCAAGGATCACAGGGCTGTGTTAGAAGCTACCTACCATAGTCATCCCTCTAACTCCTAATGACACATTCCTTCCACAAAGAAACTATACACTCCTCTACTTCAGGTCCCCCAAAACCTCTTCTCATTATACCATCATCTCAAAGCTCAGAATCTTTCCATTCATCAGATCCAAATGGGAATAATTTGCCTCTATTCTAGTTCCCGAATTATAACACGGTAAGTACAGATCCTTTTAGTCTGTACTTGTAAAACTAAGGAGTACATTACCTGCCTCTAGACATCAAAAATATAATGGTGAGACAGGCTGGCTTCCTGCATGTAGCATTACGGGGTCCAAAGGCCTCTCCTTATTCCACACTGACTGTTATTCTTCAGCCTGAACTGGGAATGTTCCTGAATATATAGCACTTTTAAGCACTGTTTCTTGATCATGAGCTTGGGATTCCACCCAATGTACAAAATCCCGCTTCCCCATCCTCCAAATCTCTTCAAGGTAAACCTTTCTCAACTTTCATGCTTTGAGAAGATCCTGAGGCACAAGACTCTACCTGTAATCATTTTGAGGTGTTTGAAAAAAAGGAGTTGCACTTACACACTTAGCTTGCTTGTTTTTCTTTCTTTCTTTCTTTCTTTCTTTCTTTCTTTCTTTCTTTCTTTCTTTCCTTCTTTCTTTCTGTCTTTCTTTTTTTTGAGACAGGGTCTCTTTCAGGCTAGAGAACTGTGGTGCAATCATAGCTCACAGCAGTCTCAACTTCTGGGCTGAAGAGATCCTCCCATCTTAGCCTCCCCAGTAGCTAGGGCTACAGGTGTGCATCACAATGTCTGGCTAATTTAAAAGAAAAAAGAATTTGTAGAGACAGTGTCTTGTTTTGTTGCCCAGGCTGGTCTGGTACTCCTGGCCTCAAGTGATCCTCCTGCTTCGGCCTCCCAAAGTGCTGAGATTACAGACATAAGTCGCCACACCTGGATATAGATTTCTTTTTAAACCACATTCTCCTGGCAGTATTCTGGATTTGATCTTTGTTCTAAAGCCATTACTTAATTTTAGCATAATTTGTTCTCTGAGGAGGATAGAATTCTCAAAACCATTAAGTTCTGGCTCCTTTTTGTTTAAGTTCCTTTCTTCATTTTATCTCCTTCCACACAGATATATCTGTATTTCACAACATTTGTTTTATCTTGAGTACATATTATGAAGCACAAAATATATAAAAAATGCTGAAATAAGTAGTTAGGTAAATCAAGGGTTTCTGAAAACATGGCCAATAACATCAACTTTGGGCTTTGATTAGTCATGCTCCTTTACTTGGAGCTAGCGAGTTACCTTCTTACCACTTCCTTCTCTCCCTTCCCCTGTCAGAGTAAATCAACCCTCTCCAATTTATAAGTCATAGTGGGATTCAAGGGTAAATATCATAAAACAGATTGTCAAGAATGCTGTTAATTTAGGCAAAATTATTTATTTCAACTTTTAAAAACCAGCTGGACTCATAAAGCACAAAATCAAATACAGATTTGTAGAACTGTTGAGCTATTAATATTGAGTGATTTTCCCTGAAGTCCAGCAGGAAAGGTAGTGTTAGGGTAGCCATGTTGGATTCAGGGCAGCTAGCCAGTCAGCTACCTGACAACAATCTATACATCACTTGGATAATTTACATATAGTATGCCAGTAAATTTAGGTTTTCATAAATTCTAATTACAGGAAAATTAAATAATGCTCCTTCAACCAAATAGACTATGTCTTATAGTGCAAATTAAACCAACATTTTCAGCAAGCGAAAGCCTATTTCTGCTAAGTAATTTTTCAAATTGTACATGCAATAACAAGGTACACTGTGTACCAGTCAGTCTATAGTGAACTGAATTCAGCAGAATGTGTGAAGCTGATTACCTAGGATAAATTACTGATATTGTCTGGGCTTCCAGCATTTTGACATGCCTACCTAGAAGCTGTGTGGTCTGTATTGTCACAATATAAAAATGAAAAGAGAATAAGAACTAAGAAAGAGTGATAAACATCTTAAATTGCCATAAATCAGCCCTAGAGCATACTGTTTTAAAATGACCGTTCATTTATTTCCACATAGATTTTATCTTCTGTGTGAATGCATCTAACACTTTCTAGTTACCAGTAAAAGAAAATAGAGAAATTAAAAATAAACAGAAAATCAGTTACTTTCACTATATGTGATTATTATCTTGTACTCAACATCAAGAAATAAAATAATTATTAATAGAAAATCAGTTTTATTTCTAGACATTGAGTTCTCTAAGTTCTAAATTTGAAAACTGTAAATACACAGAGTTCTAAATTTTGTACTCTGTGTATTATTTTAAATTGCATTATTTCCTGGAAACCATTATCCCTTTCTCCTATTTTTTCTGGTGCTATGTGGCTAGCTCGTTAGCAACATTTACTTTAAGAATTCAGAATAATGCTTTAAATTTGTTTAAATCCATTGTATCTAGCACTTCATTTTATTTTGCAGAAAAGGAAGCCTTTTTAAAAGGGGATGACATATGTGGGGCAAGTTCATGCAGGACAATCATAATTGGTCTTGTTTAAGACCACATATCACAAATGAATTTATAGGCCTGTTGGGCAGAATGAAGCAAGGAGGAGCTGGTTTTATTGGGGATATGGGGACATTTTTGGAATAAGATCAAGCTCGCCTTAAACTAGATAGAGCACTAACATGAAGGCTCTTGAACTCGTGAATAGTATTGAATTTGTTCTTCCAGGGACACTTCCAATTTATCATGTTTCTCATCTGGAGCTGAGTGACTAGCATATTAATCCAGATGAAAGAATCATTCCTCCATGGAGCAGGAAAGCTGGTGGCAGAAAGGGATGCTTGTGTTTGCAGTATTTAAAAACTGCAAAAAGTAGAGGATACTCAGATGTGCATAGAGAGATAATATATTATTTTTCATTGGGATTCTGAAAAAGAAACTTGGATAGCACTGTTACTAGCCAATCCTTGCAGCTAAGTAATCTAGAGATCTTGTTGCAATTTAAAAAACTACAGAGACAAAAGGATGGCAGTACAGAAGCATAAACATTGCTCACTTGATTGTTTGGTTATCGTTTTTTTTAATCCTCTAGAGTTCTGTTTGGAAGAAACCTTGGGTGATATACTGGATAAGCACATATTCAATTTAGGATTATATTACTAAGAAAAGAAGATGAATGGAAAAAGAACCAGAAGTTTCAAATATAGAAAATGTACACTAAAGAAGAGAGTGTCCATTCAGAAATGTCTAATATTTAGAAGTGACAAGCCTAAAATGTTCAAAATATGCAGAAAACAGAACACTTAAATGCCATATTCAAAAAGAAAAAAAAAAGGTTTACATGATAGCTTCTTCTGTCAAGGTACTGCAACTTAGTATAAAAACTAACCTTTAAAATTGTTCTTAAAATATTCTTGTTACTTAAGTAATAACAGTTCATTTTTAGAGAATTAAAAATTAATCTCATGATAGAAGAGTTTTCCCAGTTAAATTTTAATTTCACAGGTTGTGGAGTTCAGCACAGTTGCCATGCTTCAGGAAACAGCCTATCAAAGCCCAAACTATTAACTGTTACTCAGTTCAGGTTATATGAACTTTTGGGACATCTCCCAACACAGCTCTATTAAGTTATGTATTAGTTTCCTATTGGCAGTGGAAACGTAAATGCTTGAGAAAACTGAGAAAATCAGAGATCTTAATTCTCAGTTTAACAGACTTAAAACTCTACCACCATCTCAGAGAAAGAACAAGGAAGCAAAGTCTCTGTTTTGATGGGTTAATGTCTTCTGAGGGATATCAAAATCCAATTCCACAGTCTCTTTTAACTATTAACAGTTAGATTAGACCCATTCACAGTAGATCAGAATCCACAGGCCATAAATGAATGTAAATATTCCTTTGAGATTGATTGTACACTTGGAAAGCATGACCAGGAAAAAATACATCACTTCAGTAATTAATAATTATTTATTATTAAAAATTATTAAACATACTAATAAAGCTTCTAAAACCATGCCACCACATATAATACTCTTTTTAAAAATATAATAAAAATTTAAAAGTCATCTCTGAAGATCAGCTAACAATAAAATAAGTAAAGAAATTAATTAAAAAAACAATTCAATGAAAGTTAGTCAATAGCAGAATCATGAAGTAACATATTGACCACATTTGATAAGATTTCACTTTTGGTAATGTTGGACTATGTTGTTTTTGAAAACCCCACTAAACTGAGGACAATAGGCTTAAATGAATAAAATGTGTCTCTTTGTGTGTAGGCACTTTTTAAAAGTTATTGGAAAGGATACCAAGGCAGAGAGAACTGGCAGGGCTCAGATTTAGAAGTGAAGGTATAAAAATAGTAAGGAACCGAGAAATCATTGCATTTTTCACTCTATAGTACTACGTATTTAAAATATTGTTTTATAGAAATTCAGTTGGCTTTTATCAATTTCAAAAAAACTAAGAAAATTAAAAAATTAAAAAACCCTGAAGTTCACAGGATCTAAGAAAAGTAAGGAATTGGTAAGAATCCATGACTTTAGTTAGAGCCTTAAAGGGGTAAAGCCTACTAATAAGGTGAACTGTTAATAACCTAACTTAAAACACTCAATCATTTATTGGTTTAAAGCAAGCTTGTCCAACCTGCAGCCTGCAGGCCACATGTGGATCAGGATGCCTTTGAATGTGGCCCAACACAAATTTGTAAACTTTCTTAAAGCACTTATGAGATTTTTTTTTTGCAACTTTTTTTTAAGCTCATAAACTGTCATTAGTGTTAGTGTATTTTATATGTGGCCCAAGACAATTCTTCTTCCAATATGACCCAGGAAAGCCAAAAGACTGAGCACCCCTGAAGTGAACCAACTGGAGCCCAGCTTCCTGCCCAAAACAAAAATCGTTTTTGAAGGGAGATGGCATTATTCAGTCTTAAAATATCTTTATAATGTGTCAGATTGTATATCTGGTACTGCTTTAAAAATAAGTAGAATTGTGTAATGACAAGGTATAATCGAAAAAGAAACAAGAACAAATACCAAACAATAGAAGATATACATATAAAAGCAGATGATACAGATATTAAATATAAATATTTGCCGGGCGCAGTGGCTTATGCCTGTAATCCCAGCATTTTGGGAGGTCGAGGCAGCAGGATCATGAGATCAGGAGATGGAGACCATCCAGGCTAACATGGTGAAACCCTGTCTCTACTAAAAATACAAAAAATTACCCAGGTGCGGTGGCACTCACTTCTATTCCCAGCTACTGTGGAGGGTGAGACAGGAGAATCGCTTGAATTCGGGAGGTGGAGGTTGCAGTGAGCCGAGATCGCGCCACTGCACTCAAGCCTGGACGACAGAGTGAGACTCCATCTCAAAAATAATAATAATAATAATTATATATATATATACACATATATAAAAATTATTATATTTCTAATTGATAGGGTCAAAAAATTAAGTGTTAGGGTAGTATTTTGGAAAGATGACAATTAGAGTAAAGAATCACATAAATATTGGAATTGAAAAATATAATAAGCAAATGAAGAAAAAATAAAAACTGGAAAAAGAGATTAAACAATGGAAGAGATGATTAGTGACCTAGAAGATAGGCTGGAAGGAATATCCATAATGAAGCCTGCATGTTCAAAACTTGTGTATACTACAGTTAAATTTAAAATATCTGTAACTGCATGGCCATAATGAAACCTGAGAGACAATGGGGCAGTCTCTCAACTTTTTGAAACAAAAACAGTAGCTGAAAATATTTTAAAATACACTGAAGATAATCGAGAATCAAGAGTAACCATAAATCTGAAGCAAATTAAAGCAAAAAATCACACCTTGACATATCAAATTATAAGCACACAAAAACAAAGAGAATATAAAGTGTTAAGATTAGCCAAATAGAAAACATATATTGCCTTCACAGGATCAATGGTCCGCCTAGGGCCTGTAATAAGAACAACGTCTGATCTGATCTCTCAGCAGAAACAATGGAAGCTGGAAAACCATATAATGAAAATTTTTCAATGCTGAACGAAAATAACCACTAACAGAATGCAATATATTGAGAAAATATGCTTAAAAAGACAAGGAGATGAAATAAATAAAAGACATTTTCACACAGATAAGAGCAATAACTTTTTCTTCAATAGATCTATGCTGAAGGAAATTTCAAAGCGTTTTTTATTTTTTAATCAGAAGAAAAATAATCCAGATAGAATTTTAGATGTGAGATAAAGGGATGCAGAGTAAGAGGAAATATAAATGTGTGGGTATATCTAAATAAAAATTGTATCAGTGACAACAAAAACGTGTAATAATTGAAACAATAATATGTTTTGGATTATAACACACAGAAAATATGTGTTAGAAGAAGTACCTAAGCTGAGGGGTTGTAAAAAAAAATAGAGAAGTGGCAAAGGAACTAATTATATTTTAATATATAAAGCAAGTAAATAGTATCAGTTAAATAGTCACTAAACAAAAAACTATGAGGGATAGATGGAATAAAAAATAATGAAATCAGGAAAGGTAAGAAATAAAAGTACATAGGACATAAATAAATAAAAATAATATACTGAAATAATAGATTTGAATATAAATATGTCAGAAATATAAATCATGCATAAGTATTAAGTATTCAAGGACAAAGGCTTTCATCTTACATTAAAAATTTTCACTTATAAGAAACATATTTTACATGCAAGAAAGTCAAAAAATTGAAAAGTATGGCACACCCACACTGACTAAAGTTGATGTAGCTATCATAATATATAAGAAGGCTTTAAAGCAAGAAATATTGCTAGAAAAAATCATTTAATAAAATACACCTAATAAATGTGCAAAACCTCTGTAGTATACTTATACAAAATACAGTCTAATTCCTTTATTAAGAAAGATACATATATTTTCTACATTAATTATTTGAAAGACACAGTACTATAAAGACAACAATCTTCCTTAAATTGACCTAGTGTCAATTTAATCTCAAAGAAAATCTGAACATATCGAAAAATATACACATTGTTTCTAAAACATGTAGAATGCAAAGTATATGCCAGCCAAGAAGAGCCATGAAAGTCATGAAGAACAACAGTTGGAAATTTTATTCTGAATTTTCAAATAAAAGGGCTTTTTTTTTTTTCTCAAATAAAGGTTAGAGTGTTAATAAAAGCCCAAGGAAATATAGCAATGGAACAATAAAGATATTTGAGATGTAGTTTCTCACATAGATGAACAACTGATTTATGACAAAAATTACATTACAGGACATTGAAAAAATGAACGATAGAATGGAAACGAATGAAATCAATTCAATGGTTAGAGTGAATAGAAATAGTACGTGGAAATATTTTGGCTTTGTTAAATGGGAGGATACAGTTAAGCCAAGTTTTTAGAAGTGTTTAGGTGTACTCAACATAGGAGAAAAGTGGAAATTATGCCATTTTCAAGAACATGGAGAAGTTGGAACCTGTGGAATATTCTGGCTTTGCAGCAGGTGATGAGACGAGAATAAAATAGAGACGAATGAATGTGTCCTAATATGGTAAGGGATATACGCTATATCATAGAGTAAGAAATACTAATACATTTTAAGAAAGTGATTTTTTTCACATTAAGATTTTAATTTTAAAATGTTAGTAAGATCATTAATTCTGCAATGTGCTATGTGAAATTTTACCTGCTGATACAAGAAGAGAGGAAGGGGACAAGAATCTTCTGCCCATTTTTCACCCTTGCCTTGGCAGTAATGTAGCAGGACATTGATGTTTCTCCACATTCCAATTGAAATAAGCACTATGACAAACACTATCATGCAGAAAAAAAAATGGGAAGGCTAATCTTATTATCACTAACCATTGTTGGAGAGATTGGTGTACGTGGCCACCAATGCGAAAATCAATCCGAATTGTATTCATTACCCATCTTGAAGCCTGCCTGGTCCATTGTTCATCCTTTACTATTTTAACTAATTATTTTCTTCGAGTTGTGAATTACTGTGCAGTTAACATCTCAGTAACTGTATTTATCACTTTGCTATGTGACACCTTCCATAGAAATAAAAGGCAGATTTAAGAGAGCACATCAACCACAAAGAACGTTAAATCATTTTAGCTGAGCGCTTTAAAGGAAAAAAATAATTCCACATTTTCTGAAATACCTTGTTTTTAGACATATTTTCACTTGTTCAGAAAAATAACATACTCCTGAAATTTTGGGTATTAACATGTAGGACTAGAGAATCCTAAATACCAAATAATTTGCTGTGAATCCTGACAATATGGCACCGTTTTGTCAATAAGATATAAAATGAAACGAAGAAAGGTATAAACACATGGTTGAGTGGACCTATTTATCCTACTATTACAATAATTCAGACTAAACCCGTTAGCAGGCATCCCTTGGTAGCAACAGATTTAAGGCCACTCATTTTATAATCAGCCCTTATAAAAATGCAAAACTCACTCAGCAGGAACAGGAGTCTGGAACAAGAATATCATCAGCAGGAAACACAGCTCTGAGAAGAGTATTTGATTCAACACAGGATTTGAAGTTGAAAACATACTTACCCACTTAAGAAAGAGCTGATGCATAACAAGAATATTTTCCCTGTGATCTCTTATTTTTCACTCCTCTTTTCTCTGCCCTGGCTCTCTTTACACTTCTTTGATGATTTCCCCCTGGTTCTCACCCCTGTGTCTTATCTCTTATCCTCTCAAAAAGACTGAAATTGGCAGGCTTACTGGGGAAGACATAATCTACCTTAGGTTGCCGTTTAAAAGCTGCAAAATTCCAGGGTTTAAATTGTATACAGAAAAGCAATCACACACATCAACTGGAAACCACCCCTCCCTGTAGTGAATAAACCAATGTAAACAGCAGGCTCCACTTACTTGATCGGCAAGGGCTGTGAAGGCAGAGGCGATGCTGAAATAGCCTGTTTTGTGTCCCTTGAAATGGTGCTTGCTCCTATATAGAAAAATATTTTATGTATATATTCTTTGGTGTAGAAGGTTAGAGAATTGTTAAGCGCTTTCTCACCCTCAAAACAGTACTAATTGTTAAAGGATAGAGGAGCAAACTAAATGTCTGAAAGTTGCAGTGCTTTTTTTCACATCATGAGAGCTACTCAACCTAATTGGAAATATTGGACCTCATTGTAAATAGACCACATTGGGATAATCATTAACTTGATTTCAAAGTAATTCAGTAAATTATATAGTCCTTATTTATTATACAACTACATGAGTAGACTATATAATACAAACAAGTTTCTTTTCATGTCCTATTGTGTAACCAACAAAGAGCTACAGAGATTTTTTCCCAGATTTAGAGGATCTGTTTGACATTATCTGCCTTAAAATACAGTATTTGAAATACAGATCCATGAGAATAGTGAAAATTATTAGTGTTCGCTTTAAGGAAGCATTTTTATTGAATTATAGTATGTACATGTTTATTTGATTGAAGTATAAAATATATGCAAAATAATGCACAAGTAAACTATAATTGGACAACTTCACGAGTATTTTATGTAAACAGAAGGATCAAGAATTATATTTCCAAACATAACAGAAGCCCAGCTCCTCAGTTATTAAGGCTTCGGAGCTAGTTAATAAACTGATTTGTTACCACACATTAGTTTTGGCTACATTTAACACGATGTAAGCTGAATTAGAGCAATTTGAGTGTGCTTTTGTGTTTCATTCACCTTTATCATTTGCATGATTCATCCAATTGTTATGTATAGCATCAGTATATTAATTCTCATTTCTTTCTACAATTCATTGCAAGAATACACCACAACAGGCCAGGCGCGGTGGCTCACGCCTGTAATCTGAGCACTTTGGGAGGCTGAGGTGGGTGGATTAGCTGAGTTGAGGAGTACAAGACCAGCCTAGCCAACATGGTGAAACCTCGTCTCTACTTAAAATACAAAAATTAGCTGGGCATGGTGGCGGGCACCTGTAATCCCAGCTAATTGGCAGGCTGAGGCAGGAGAATTGGTTGAACCTGAGAGGTGGAGGCTGCGGTGAGCTGAGATTGTGCCTTTGTATTCCAGCCTGGGTGACAAGAGTGAAACTCTGCCTCAGAAAAAAAAAAAAAAAAAAGAAAGAAAGAAAGAAAAGAAAAGAAAAAAAAAGAATACACCACAACATATTAATGTAGCCTTAATGGCCATTTGGTCTTTATTTCTGCTAATGGTTATGAGAAGCATATAGTAAGGTGGTTATGAACGTATTTCTATATATCTTTATTTTCCTAATACTTTTTTCTGTTTAACTTTTGTAGCATCATAAGTTACATATTTATAGTAATGATTTTCAGGCTTTCTGTTATAGGTATTCAAGGCAAAAATTTTCCTCTAATAATTAATTAACAAATTTTAAAACACTGTATTTTCTTTATTATTCAATTCAAAATATTATCTCTTCCATTGTGGTTTCTTTGCCACTTAGATTATTTTGAAGTATGCTGCTTTACTCTAATCATTGATGATTTTTTATGTTGTTTGCCTGTTATTGATGAATAGGTTAATTCCACTGTGGATGGATAATTTCTAATCGATTACCATATTTTGTAATTTGCTGAGATTTACTTCCTATGCCCTGTCATGCTCATACTTTTTTTAAAAAGCAATTAGTGGGTACATAATAGACGTATACATTTATGGCATGCATGAGATACTTTGATACAGAAATACAACATGCAATAATAGCATTAGTGTAAATGGGGAATCCATTCCCTCAAGCATTTATCCTTTCCTTGTGTTACAAACAATCCAATTATACTCTTTCAGTTTTAAAATGTATGATAAGTTATCGTTGACTATAGTTGCCCTGTTGTGTTCTGAAATACTAGATCTTAATCATTGTATCTAACTACATTTTTGTGCCCATAAACCATACGCGTCCCTCCCACTCCCACCAACTACCCTTCCCAGCATCTGGTAATCATCCTTCTACTTTATATCCATGAGTTCAATTGTTTTGATTTTTACATCCCACAAGTAAGTGAGAACATGTGAAGTTTGTCTTTCTGTGTCTGCTTTATTTCACTTAACATAATGACTTCCAGTTCCATCCATGTTTTTGCAAAAGACAGGATATCATTCTTTTTATGGCTGAATAGTAAGAAATGTACGTATGTACCACATTTTTTTTTATCCATTTGTCTGTTGATGGACATTTAGGTTGTTTCCAAACCTTGGCTGTTGTGAACAGTGCTGTAATACACATGGGAGTATAGATCTCTCTTCCATATACTGATTTTCTTTCTTTTGGGTATGTACCTAACAGTGAGATTTCTGTATTATATAGTTGTTCTACTTTTAGTTTTTTTTGAAGACAATTGTTTTCTAAATTGTTTTCCATAGTGGTTGTACTAACTTTCTCACCAACAGTGTATGAAGTTCCCTTTTTCTCCATATTTCACCAGCATTTGTTATTTCCTGTAATTTGAGTGAAAGCCATTTTAACTGGGATGACATGATAGCTCATTGTAGTCTTGATTTGCATTTCTCTGATGATCAGTGATGTTGAGTACCTTTTCATATACCTGCATGCCACTGGTATGTCTTCCTTTGAGAAATGTCTATTCAGAACTTTTGCCTATTACTAAATTGGATTATTTGCCTATTTTTAATTGGAATTTTTCCTATTGAGTTCTGTGTGCTCCTTATATATTCTGGTTACTAATCTCTTGTCAGATGAATAGTTAGCAAATATTTTCTCCTGTTCTGTAGGTTGTCTCTTTACATTATTGATTGTCTCCTTTGCTGTGCAGAAGCTTTTAAACTTGGTGCATCCCACTTGTCTATTTTTGCTTAGGTTGCCTGTGTTTGTGGGGAATTTTTGTCCAGACCAATGTCCTGGAGAGTTTCCCAGTGTTTTGTTTTAGTAGTTTTATAGCTTGAGGTCTTAGATTTAAGTTTTAATCCATTTGATTTTATTGTTTTACATGACAAGAGATAGGGGTCTAGTTTAATTGTTCTTCATGTGGATATCCAGTTTTCCCAGCACCACTTATTAAAGAGATTGCCCTTTCCCCAATGTAGGTTTTTCTCACCTTTGTTGAAAATTAATTCCCCATAGATATCTGTATTTATTTCTGGGCTCTCTATTCTGTTCCACTGGTCTACGTATCTGTTTTTATGCCAGTACCATGCTATTTTGATTACTAAGGCTCTGTAGTATAATTTGAGGTCAGATATTGTGATTGCTGCAGTTTTGTTCTTTTTACCTAGGATAGATTTGGCTATTCTGGGTCTTTTTTGCTTGCATATACATTTATTTTTTTTTTCTATTTCTGTGAAGTATGTCATTGCTATTTTGATAGGAATTGCATTGATCCTGTAGATTGCTTTTGGTCTTATGGACATTTTAACAATATTGATTCTTCCAATCCATGAACATGGAATACCTTTTCATTTTTTGGTATGTTCTTCAATTTCTTGCATCAATATTTTATAGTTTTTATTGTAGAGATCTTTTACATCTTTGGTTGTTAATTCCCGTATATTTAATTTTATTTGTAGCTATTGCAAATAGCTGTTTGCTGTTGGCATCAAGAAATTCTACTAATTTTTGTATGTTAATTTTGGACTCTGCAATTTTACTGAATTTGTTTATCAGTTCTAACAGTTTGTTGGTGTAGTCTTTAGTTGTTTTCAAATATAAGATTGTATCATCTACATAAAAGGATAATTTGAATTCTACATTTCCAACTGGGATCCCCTTTATTTCTTTCTGTTATCTGATTGCTCTAGCTAGGACTTCCTCATACTGATATTTATAAATCGTCTAGGTAAACTTGAAACAATGTATACTTTTTCATTTGTTGTAGTGTTGACTTTGTCTCAATCAGGAAAATTTATTGGTTGAATCTAACAGTTGTTATTAATTGAATCGTTCAGATCTATGTTTCCATTGATCTTTTTGTCAGCTTGATCAATCAACGATTGACAGAGATACTTAAATTTTGCCAATGTGGTTGTAAATACATGTATTTCTATTTTTATTTTTGCTAAACTTTGTTTCATATATATTGAAGTTACCGGTACAATTTTCTAGTTGAATTACTTTTTTTTATCATTATGAAATATCCCTCTATGTTTCTAGCGTTGGTCAGTGTGCCACATATGATATTTAAAAAGATATTTCAGCTTTCTTTTCTTTAGTGTTTAATGATATTAATTACACTTTTTAGTTTTCTTCTATTCAAAGGTCTCCTTTATAAAATGTATATAATTAATCTCTTCAAAAAAATAACAGTATTTCATTTTTTTCAACATAACATTAGTAGTTTGGATTCAATCTTCCACCTTGCTATTTAGTATCTATTTTGTTTATCTCCTTCTTTTCTTTACTTTTGTTCCTCTTTATTCTTTATTTTCGTTGCCATTAATTTAACTTTTTTGTATCACACTAATAAAATTGACTTTTTGGTATAGAGTTCTATACATTTTACACATCAATAGATTTGTGTAACGACTGCCACAGTTAGAATATAGAACAATTTTATTACTCCACAAACCACCCCCATGCCCCATGTCACCCTTTTATAGTAACACCCTTCCTCATCCCTAACCCCCAGCAATAACCACTGCTCTGTTCTCCATCACCCTGGTTTTATCTTCTGGGGAAGATTGAGAATGTCACATATATGGAATCATACAAATTATAAACCTTTCCTACTGACATATTTTACGCTGTGTAATATCTTTATGATACATTTAAGTTATTGTGTGTATCAACCATTCATTCCTTATTATTGCTGAACAGTATTGCATTAAATGGATGACCACGTTTGTTTCTGATTTGTTTCCAGTTTGGTGAGATTATGAAGAAATGTTTCCTTTTAAATATTTTAGTATAGGTTGTTCATTAACATAAATTTGTGTTTCTCTAGGGTAAACAATCAGGAGTGGAATTTTTAGATTAGACGGTAATTTTAATTATATATTTGATTTGTAAGGAAATGTCAAACTGTTTTAAGAGTAGTTGCACATTTTTATATTCATGCCAGCAATACATTAGAAATTCAGTTGCACCACGTTGTTGCCATAATTTAGCATGGTCATTATTTTGATTTTAGCCATGCTAATAGATATGTAGTAGTATCTCCTGATTTTAATTTGCATATGTCGTATGACTAATGTTGAAAAATCTTTTATGTACTTATTTACTATACATGTACCTTCTTTAGTGAAGCTTCTGTTTCTTTTGCCCATTTTCAGTTTTGTTGTTTTTCCTCTTACTGCAGAAACTGGAATATTCTTTATATACAGTATGCGTTCCATTTCTTGTTACAACTTGATCTAAAATATTTTTCTCCTATTCTGAGTCTTATCTTTTCATTTTCATAATAAACAAGAATTTATGAAAGCTACTTATCTATTGAGGTTTGTTTTTTTAGTTCTTTGTTTTGGTTTTTCTCCAGCTGGATGCCATACCCTTAAAAATTCAGCAATTGACTTTAGGGAAAAAAAATCATTGAATATGGAAATCTATGGAAATCTATTTTCAATTATTCTGTGGTATATTCTTTGTTATGCTGATTCTCTATCTCCCTCTGTATTTTTTATTTATCTGTGTGTGTATGCATACAAATAAGTTTCTAATATCAGTGTGTGGAAGATAAAATTTTGAATCTTGATTTGAAAATATTTTTACTTTCTCATTGAATTGATATATAAACTGGGTATAGATCTTGAGCTTGAAAGTCAAGTTCACCAGGAACTCTAGGGTCATTTTAAATTGTTTTCTAGTTCCTAGTGTTCTTGCTCTTATTCTTATTATTGAATAAGAATTAACATTGCATTTGGCAATAAAAATATCAGGATCTCTACCATTTGTTGCTAAAATTATACTATGCTAGTTGCAACGTAAGTGCTCTAGAAAGCAGACTATAACAGCAGAATTTGTTTGCATAAAGTATATTGAGGAATGCTTTCTGGATTAACACATTGTGGGGAGCAAAAGAAAGCGAAAAAAATGGAAAAATATTATCTTCAAGGCAATTAGACCTGCACAGTGTTTCCCAATTGTGACAAGAGGAAAAATTCTTTATAACTTCTATATTGACCAGCATTAAGTGAGTGCTGTCTCCAGGAAGCGGGGTGGGGTGGAGGTAGTGGACATTTCAGTAAGGTGGCCCCCTTTGGCCAAAGGTAATTGCCAGATATTGGAATTCTACAAGCTGTGAGCTGTCAAGGCACATAGCGACTGGGAGAAATGTCCAATTCAGTCTTGAAGAGATTGCTGACCTGGGCAGTGCCCCATTACATACCTTATTTTATGTCTATTTTCTTTCAATATACTGGAAACTCAGTGTATCAGTTTAGTTCTGAAACTCATGTCTTCACCTGAGAAAAATATTTTTAATTGACTTATCTGAATGATATATTACTCTGAATTTTCTGTTCTCTATTTTGGAAACTTTCTGAATAAATTCTCCACTTTTCTTTTGTATACCCTTCTAGCTTTTTTGATATTTTGGTCTAGTTTCTAGGAGAAAGAAATTTTCTGGACTTCCTTTTGACCCTCATTTTAATCATTTTTTTTCCATCATCCAAATGGCATTCTAGCATTGCTTTAAAAAAATAACAAAAATAGGCATATGCTCTTGTTTTGTAAATGAACCTTCTTTCATATCTCTGGTATACTGATAAAATTGTTAAAGGTGTTTTTGGATTGTTTGTTTTGTTGGCTTCCTGAATGGTCTATGTTTATGCCAAATTTCTGTTTCATTTATTTTGGTCTCTTTTTCATGTGTTAATCTTTACTCTAACATTCGGTGTTTCTCTGCTGCCAGCAGACATTCAAGGAAATTCATTAAAAAGAAACTGGAGTGTATTGCATAATATTGAGAATTACAGAGTGGTGTGACTCAGCAAAATGACTGGGCAGAAAGTTGCTTTCGTTAAGGAAATTACCAAATGACAATAGATATAGGTCTTTTTTCATGGGCAATTCTGATTCTCTGAGGGAGGTGAGTGAGGGGAATGCCAATTTGTTTATTCCCAAATATGTGTACATGCATAAATGCTCATGTAAACTCAACTGCCAGAATTCCAGATTGCAGTGGAATACAGAATGAGATGGAGGATTTCCATGAAGCAACATGCTTTCTCTGCTGCATACACTGTATGTAGGTGGAAGGCTCTTGTTTAAGTTGCTCATGATACATACTCTTTTATCTCCAGCATAAGGTTGGAGAAGGAACATGAGGATCCAAGCTGCTCATCGTACAGCATTAACTCTATTCCCTTCCAAACTTTAAAATCATGATTTATGCTTCTTTCGGCTTCCTAGCCATGAAACTTATAGGGTTCTAGATTTTGTGGGGTGATTTGCTTCCCTTCCTTATTTTCATCCTTCAAAAAGTGGTCAGTATCACTAGTCAATCATTGTTTTTTCTTCACTGTGTCTCTATATGTCCTTGTACATATTTTTTCCTATCCCTTAATACAACTTTAGTGGGTTTCCAGAAGGTATGAAAATACACACATGGGTTCAGATGTTTAACATGAAACTTTATTACTATTTTACAAAGCTCTACTGGTAATTTTTATGCACCTCTATACCATTATTAGTGTTTTCTCTAAATCTCACATACACACATTTTTAATATGTTGACTGATGAAGATCCTGTGTAGCAGTGTTAGTTTCTCTTGAAGGTGAGGAACTAAGTATCATCAGATTATCAGGATTTGGAAAGGGTGATATCTGGAGAATTATTTATGTGAAACTTGAACAAAATTTGAAAGTGTGTTACATTGCTATTGATATGATTTGGATGTGTGTTCCTGCCCAAATCTCATGTTGAATTGTAATCCCCAGTGTTGGAGGAGGGGCCTGGTGAGGGGTGATTTGATCATGGGGGTGGACTTTGCCCTTGCTGCTCTCATGATAGTAAATGAGTTTTCAGGAGATCTGGTTGTTTAAAAATGTGTAACATCTCCGCCTTCTCTCTCTGTCCTGCTGTGGCCATGTGAAGATGTGACTGCTTCCCCTTCACCTTCCACCATGATTGTAAGTTTCCTGAGGTCTCTCCACCCATGCTTCCTGTAACTGTGGCACAAAGAGTCAATTACACCTCTTTTCTTTATAAATTACTTAGTTTCAGGTATTTATTTATAGCAGTATGAGAATGGATTAATATAGCTATGGTTTAAATACTTAAAACTAGAATTTTATTTTTTAATACGTTAGTATTACAATTCATTATTCTTCTTGAGGTGAGAATCATATGGGAAATTATAATAGAAATACTCTTCTGAATGACTCTATAAGTGGAATTTATTCAGTAGAGCCAATTTCCATTTAAAGACTTCTATTTGCTTGCTCTATTATAAAGGTACATTTGCTGACATTGTGAATTGAAATATATATACACACATATAGATATATATATATATACCATTTGAAATGTCAATGGTATAATATTTGAAATGTTATCAAATTGTAAAATTTTGTTATAAAATTGGATGCTGATGGTATTAAGCATGATCAACAAAGTTCAATTATTAAAAAGTATTTTCTCCATAAATAAAAAATATAATTACTTACAATGTTTTTCATTCCTGTGTGCTTGTCATTTTATTCAGTCTATATAAACAGTGACAGAATCACATAAAATATATTTAATATATGTAATAATATACTTAATATAATCTGAAATATTTTAGAAGCAAAATTATTAAAATATTTATAAATGATGAGATGACTGAATTATCTGCCATTTTATGTCTTTAAAATGATATTGTCATTTGTACCCTGATTAATGTGACCAGGAAAAATGCATTTCAATTTTTTGTCATGTGTCTTCTGTCGCAACTTAGGTAAATTTAGCCAAAGAGTCGCAATGACTAACCTGTATACGTAATCCAAATAGTACATTTTCTGGTTTTATAAATACAAAAACACAGCTTAACACAGTTAAAAAAAATCAATGTGCATATTTTTTGTTCTGTAAATATTTAGAAAAACTAAGTAAATAATAAGATGAAAGGAAAAGGTTTGTAAGATATAATTGAAACTCCCTGGTGCTACTTGGAGCATTTTTTAAAAACAGTTATTAAATAAATGAATCCTGGAAGAGGAATAATCTTAACCTGGATCAGAGTGCATGAATTTGTTCTTGTTGCCTCATTCCAACATTAATCAATGCCTAAAGGTTTGCTGGTACAGCTTTTAACAAACTAATTTCTGACAAAAAAAAAGATCTAGAAAGTATAAAAACATGTTTAAAAATATGTATATCTATTTGAGGGTTTAGAGATATGTTAAGATAGTCAGAACATTAGAGGCCAAGATTATGTAGAGAAAAGACACAGGAGAGAGCATCTCAGTTGGGTTTTCACTCAGGACATTTAGTTTTTCTTGGTGTAAATAAAAGTAGTGAGCTGTTATCAAGGGTCAAAGCAGTCAATAAAGCTTTAGTACATGTCATGAGGTTGGGGAGACAAACAATTAGAAATGAGGGTAATCAAAGAAGACAGAGGGGCCAAAAATATGGAGAGAAGGAAAGTATTTAGATATCGATATTTTCTGAGCCACATACAAAACACCAAAAATCAAAATATGGTAAAATTTCTTAACATCACAAGCTAGAAGATAACTCAAATGTACTAAAATTATTGGTGAAAATGATTTTTATGTTAGTAATCTATGCTAAGTATAAAGAGTAGTAGCCTTTATCCACAGTTTCCATTTCTGCGGTTTCAGTTTCCCTTGGTCAACTGTGGTCTGAAAATATTAAATGAAAAAATCCAGAAATAAACAATTCATACATTTTAAATTGCCTGTTGTTTTGAATAGCATGATAAATCCCACATCGTTTTGCTTCATTTCACCCAGGATAGGAATCATCCCTTTGTCCAGTGTATTAACCCTGTTAGTCATTGAGTGGCCATGTTGGTTCTCAGATTGTTACAGTATGCAGTGCTGTTGTTCAGGTGACCTTTATTTTACTCAATAATGGCTTACAGGAGCAAGAGTAGTGATGCTGGCAATTCAGATCTGCCAAAGAGAAGCCATCAAGTTCTTATTTTAACTGAAAAGGGGAAAGTTCTCTACTTAAGAAAGAAAAAAAATATGCTGCGTTTGCCAAGATCTACAGTAAGAATGAAACTTCTATCCGTTATTTGTGAAGAAAAGAAAAAGAAATTCATGCCAGTTTTTCTATCATACCTCAAACTGCAAAAATTATGGCTGTGGTGTATGATAAGTGCTTAGTTAAGATGGAAAAGACATTAAATTTCTGCATGGAAGACATAAACAGAAGCATGTTCCCACTGATGAAAATCAATTTGTAGTTTCAGGCCTCCACTGGGGGTTTTGGAATGTATTCATTTCACATACAGCAGGGACTACTGTATAATAAGTGTAAGAGGAGAATGAAAATATTGTTGAATTAGCATGCAAAAACTGTGCCTTGCAGAAACCCTTAGTTAGGAAGTTATTGCAGATATTATATTCACATGTATTCAAGAAAGATAAATAAGTGATCAATAAAACAGAGAATAGGTCAATGAAAAGCAGGAAAATGAAATCCCAGAACAAGTTTTGCATAAAAGAATAAGAGGGGAAACAATCTGCAGGACAGGGAAACTGAAAGGCTCCATAGCATATTCTCATTGGAGAATCACACAACTAACGTGTGCGAATATGAAAATATTTTTATTACCTTATGATTAAATGTTGGTGCATTTGGGAAAATTAGTAATAATTAAATGAAAAAGTAGAAAAAATGTAAACCTAATCATTATTAACCTCAGGAAAAGCAAACATTACTCATGAAGGCTCTCAGGTCATAGTTGACTACTCAACCTAAATAATGTGAAGTCTAATTATTTAATAAAATATTTTTGGGGGAGGGGATAGGGAGGGAGTAGAGAGTAGGGATTTCAGAAGTAAATTTTCAACTTTCATTGGAGACGTTCCTTAGAAAATAATCTAAAATTTATAAACTAATAAATGGTTTTGCAAGTTTATATATTTATAAATAAAGAAGAGTTTAATTTGCCTCTGGCAAATGTTTGAATGATATGAGGGAGGAGTAGACGGGAATCAAATTTTTATTAATGCCTTTAGTTATATTTGGTATCTTATCTATATATGTAAATTGAGAAAAACTTGATTTTTAACCTAAATTTAAAATTCAAGAACATGTATTATTTTACTACCCTCCAACACTTTGCTTTTAAAATTTGCATACTACTCCATAAGATTAATTTGGTTTTATTGGTGAATACTTTAACTGTACAAAGAAAAGATGCCTTTCCAAAGATCACACCTTCTGTTTCTAAGGGTCTTATTGTAACAATTAGGAATATAGTTAGAAATAAATAATATGGTAAATTTCCTATTATATGTATTTTGTCATGATAAAAAAAGCAAACAAGAATATAATTAGAAAAAAACTAACAAAAATATACAAGTGGTTTTATATATATCCATATATATATATTTCACTCGCGTGCATGTGAAGAGACCACCAAACAGCCTTTGTGTGAGCAACAAGGCTGTTTATTTCTTTTCTTTTTTTTTTTTATTATTATACTTTAAGTTTTAGGGTACATGTGCACAATGTGCAGGTTAGTTACATATGTATACATGTGACATGCTGGTGCACTGCACGCACTAACTCATCTTTATTTCACCTGGGTGCAGGCGTGCTGAGTCCGAAAAGAGAGTCAGTGAAGGGAGACAGGGGTGGGGCCGTTTTATAAGATTTGGGTAGGTAAAGGAAAATTACAGTCAAAGGGGAGTTATTCTCTGGCTGGCAGGAGTGGGGGTCACAAGGTGCTTAGTGGAGGAGCTTCTTTGAGCCAGGATGAGCCAGGAAAAGGAATTTCACAAGGTAATGTCATCAGTTAAGGCCAGGAGAGGACATTTTCACTTCTTTTGTGGTGGAATGTCATCAGTTAAGGCAGGAACAGGCCATTTTCACTTCTTTTGTGATTCTTCAGTTACTTCAGGCCATCTGGGCGTATACGTGCAGGTCACAGGGGATGCGATGGCTTAGCTTAGGCTCAGAGGCCTGACTATATATATATATATATGGATAGATATATATACCCTTTGAACTTATTTTCACAGGTGAATATTTTTTATCCAAATCAGAACAAGGAAGTATTGTTTGACTTTGGATTGAGTATTCACCAAAAAGTATATATCTTTATACACTGTCTATCTCTAAATCTAGTGCCAAATAAAAGCGGCAATATTAATCTGCTTAAGTAATTCAACTATCAGATACTTAGGGACTATGCAGTGGCCTTACCAGTAATTAAAAATCAGTGTTTTCATTGGGTAGATAGAACGCACACGCACATATATACACACAGAAACATATATACATACACATAAATTAATAATATATAGACACTGAAATTGGGGACAGAGATAAAAAAAACATTTTTTTAAACCATTGCCTCTGTAATACAGATTATTCAGAAAATGTGATCATTCTAATGTCTTCAAATATGAATGCATTTGGAAGGTTGCTTGCTAGAAACACAGCTGGAAAACTGGAAAGAAAGCACTCCCTTGTTACTTCAGTTATCCTATGTGGCAAGAGAAGAAAGGGTCAGTTTCACAAAATGTGACTGATTTATTTTGTCCCACCTTAGAGCTATCTACAATCAGCAGGGAAAAGCAGGGGTTGAAAGGTGACACTATCATACAAAACTTCCTAACATAATCTTTTCTGACTTCAAAATAAAAACATATAACTTCATATTTCAAAGCAATATTTCTTTCTTTTTCCATCCCCACTAAAAGTCGCTGCTGTTTCACCAATTAATGAAGCAAATAAGTTATTATCTGACTGACTACAGGCAGAGAATCTCGGCAGTTATTGACCACTGTGCCCTACGAGATGACAACGGCCTCTGTGTTATTAGAGAAAATTAGAGGTAGGAAGCATCTTGAAACACTCCCTGCTGAACTTTGGACTTCAGAAGTTATAATGCTTCCACTCTGTTTTAATGCTTCCACTCTGTTTAATGGGTTTGAAGTTTCAATCCAGCAGAGACGTAGCAGCATCCTGTGGTCAGTTGAATGGACTCATGCTGTGTATTTTGTGCTAGAAATCTTTTCATTTCTTTGAAGTATTATGTCTCCACAGACGGGGAAACAATCAAAACTGGAGAAACCAGTTTCTATTTGAGAACATTAACAGATAAAATGAACATGGGTACAGTTTTGCCCATTTTATTTTATTTTTATGTAATCTAAAACAGGAAAAGAGGTTCTTGTTTTGTTTAAATAGAATCTTTCTTCAGATAGGAAGCTTGTGAGCAAAACAATTAGATTATATATTATTTTTGTGTGGAGATGTCACATACACTTTATTTGAAATACTTTGTTTGAAGTATCTCCAGATATGAATATGAAGACATACGAAAAATACTTAGACAACATGTAAATGTGCTGGCTCTTCTGAATTAGGATGTATTATCCCTTTTGTGAGAAAATGGGGTGAGAAGAATATGTAAAAAGATAGATTTGTGGCACTTTACTTTCTGACCATAGGAGTTTGGGGGTCCAAAGTATTTTTTTTTTATTTCGTACTTGTTTAGGGCTTTGGGTTAAATAACATTTATTTATTCATATTTGGTTGTATTAGACCCAAAATTGTGAACACTCTTACAAATTTCATTAAGTTAAAATTGGTCAGTCAAATAAATATTATATCAGGTCAGTTAGTAGCACATTCTGATTCTATATCTGTGCTTTGATTTGTTGATTAATATGGTCAAAGAAGAAGAAAACTCTTTAAAAATGTTTCTTTTCAGAATATGAACTTCTTTATATTTCGGCATGGTAATGGCATAGGCATTCCCAGCTCATTTCTTATTTATTTAAGCTTATACCACCTCAAATGCTTTCATGTCTCCATCAAGCATGCATGCATTGATTTATTCAGCAAATCTTTATTGACTATTTGCCTCCAAAGTAGCAGGCACATTAGTCTCCATATTTAGATAAGAATTCATATCTAACATCACCTTTACCACATTCATATTATATCAATTAATTGTAAACAATATATGTGTATTTTCAAAATATACATTTTTGGTTTTAATTCATTGAACCTCAGAGAATGTGATATCTGCTATTTTGAACTGTTAGAATTTATTGAACTTTTTATTGTGGTATAAAATAAGGATAATTGGATGGATAATTAGATGAATAATATGTGGCCACTTGGAAAATAAAAAAAAAAAAGGAAAACTCTCTCAATAGAAAGATGGAAACTTTTCCATCTCAATAGAAAGATGGAAACTTTTCCATCTCAATAGAAAGATGGAAACTGTTTCACTCTTTCCAACATAGACTTGCAAGTCACACCATGTCAGTTCTGCTACCTGCCATTGGGTAAAGTGAGTCACTAGGCCAGCTTATTTTCAAGGGGAGATAAACCCCATCTTGAGAGAAAGAACATCAGTAGATTTACCAATTATTTTTAAACAATCACAGTTTGCTTTCTGACCACAAATTATTTATACTTATCCACATGCTTAATAGACTCAGACTCTCCCAAGATCCTCAGAAGTGTTATCTATTACATCATTGGTATAATGTAATAGATAATTTATTGTCTATTACATCATTAATCTTAGGTTTGAGCTTCAGGATCCTGTCATGTATTTCAGATTTAGGGACAGATGAGGCTTCTTGGGTACTATATTTGGGATACTGTTTCTCGAATGTCATTTCTCTTCATTGGAAGTCCTGTCAAGGTATCTACCGCTGGTGATCTCAACATCCAATAATGCCGTCAGTATAAAGAAACCACCTTGGACCCTAGCATTCTTAAAGGGGGAAAAGAGGCACAAAGCAGTCACTGTCTGGTAGCAATTCTGAAACCCAGCTGGGCACGTGTTGGCAATCTCTTAATTAGTACCCACTCTTTTCTGGGGATGTTCTCCTTTAATCTTTACTCTACTCTCTGGGCTTTGGGTTCTAGCCTTTAAATTCACCTTCCTTTAACATAAAATGTAGCGCATGTCTGCAGCCAAATAATTTTCTCAGCTTTCTTCCTGCAAGTAGTAGTTTGGGGGTCCAAAGTATTTTTTATGTTGTGCTGTCTCTTCCTTTGTAGTCCGAGTAATTGTGTTCCCAGTAATGTAAATTTCTTAAACATTCTGAGTTTTTTGTAGGTCTTATTGAAGTTCATTCCATTATGGAATTATTAGAAACTTTATGCTTATGAATTAGTGGAGATATATGAAGTGCCCATTTACGGACTTTACAGGCCTCTTGTCTGTTTTGAATGGTGCTATGGTTTGGATGTTTGTCTCCTCCTGAACTCATGTTGAAACGTAATCTCCATTGTGGCAGTATTTGGAGGTGGGTCTTTAAGAGGTGATTGGATCATTAGAACTCTGCCCTGATGAGTCGATTATTCTTTAATGGATTAATATATCAATGGGTTAATGAATTAATAGGTTATCATGGGAGGGAGACTAGTGGCTTTATAAGAAGTCAGGAAGAGAGACCTGAGCTATCACAGTCAGCCTCCTCACATGTGATGCCCTGAGCTGCCTTGGGACCCTGCAGAAAGTCCCCATCCCACCAGAGCAAGAAGTCTCCGGCCAGATGTGGACCGTTGACCTTGGACTTCTCAGTCTCCATAATTGTAAGAAATCAATTTATTTTCTTAATAAATTACTCAGTCTCAGGTATTCTGTATAAGCAACAGAAAACAAACTAAAAAAAAAAAAAAAACAAGTTTATGAGACACCAACATATATAACTAGGAACTTTCTAGTAGAGTAGACCAAATAAAAAAACTGTATAAATACTTTTTTAAATTGTTTTTTGCATTGTTTCCGCTACAAAAGCTTTCCACTTGCCTTCCTTTGGCAGAGGTCCTAAACCACTTCCAGTTCAAAGCTGCTCAATTCATGAATTGCTACTTGTTCAAATAAACTTTTTTAAAATTTTTATTGTGCCTCAGTTTACCTTTTTGATATAAAATTTTACATATGAAGGCACAGGAGCTGGGGCTGTCAGCTGATTCCACTCCAGACAGCAGCTTTTTTTTCTGCAAGAGAGATCTGAGCAGTGTACTTCCAGGTCTTTGCCACAGTGCATTTCAGAAATCCTTCAAATGTTACAGATTGTTGACATGACTTTCAGGCAGATCTAATTATTTAATATTTTATACTTTTCTTCTATTACTCTTTTAACAAGAAAGCAGTAAACAGTAAACTTGTTGTATCAAAATAAAAAAATGTGGTGGATATATTAATTTGATATTAATTTCCATGAAACAAATTATATACAACCAGCTATTTGGAATTCTAACTTAATTAATGCCAATGGTTTCTTTCTCCTTGTTAAACCTGGTTTTTATACGTGGAATCTAACCCCATAAAAATATTGAAAGCCGCGGGGTGGAGCCTGCAGTGAGCCGAAATCGCGCCACTGCACTCCAGCCTGGGTGACAGCGAGACTCCGTCTCAAAAAAAAAAAAAAAAAAAAAAAAAAAAAACTGAAAGCACAGAAAATATTTTATAATGTCTCTAATAGGAGAAAGATGGAACATTTGAAGTTTGTAGTGTGGTAATGGTTTTTTTAAGGAGATGGTAATTAAAATGAACACTGATGAAAACCATAGTTCCATCTCCATCATTTTAATTTGAGCACTGAACAAACATTTCTATCCTATATTTTCTCTCACTGATTACTCACAGAATACACAATTACCTACTTTGAACCAGTATGTACACATTGCAAAAACACAGATAAAAGTGTTTAAATGATTTCTAAATTAAGGTGTAGAACTGTTTTCTATTTACTTAGTCTTCAGGAAAATTTTTATTCTCCTTTCTGCATTTTCAAAAAAAAACCCAAAAACTAGTGTCAATTTAAGAAGCTTAGCTGCTGGCAGGAAGCAAAATAGAGTAGTTGTATTTTGGAGGGGAGTGAGGGGGATATTTTTTAAATCACTGAAATTTAACTGTTGAAATTGCATTTTGCCCTACTACTTTTTTTTTTTTACTGTCCTACTTAGCATTTGAATTGCTTGACGTAGATATAAAATTTACATTTACAATTCCAAAATTATAGCTCCCTGTTCAAATTAATATAAAATCTGTCTAGCTTCATTTCCCTCTGCATATGCACTACAGCTCTACATTATAAAACAAAGTTCAAAACTACATAGATAAGTATAGTTATATGACATTAATATATTTAAAAGGCATCAATTCAACAAGAATATTAACAATTCTGAGACTATTTGCTTTCAAAACATAGTTTAAAATTGTACAAAGCAAAATTCAACAGAATTAAGGACTAAAAATACAAATTCATAATCCTAGTTTAATCATTCATATATCAATAAAATAGCTAATAAGAATACAAACAATAAGTATGCATGTAGAGAATCTTAAAAATACAATGAAATTTTTGATAAGATGCTGAAATTCATGTCAATAAGAAAATGCAAACTAAAAATCACAATTAAATATTACTACTATAGGGGTGCCGTGATGCTCTATTGAAATATCCTAAGAGCTTAAATACCCACCTATCAGCTTCTGGAGATGGTGGTGAACAATAACTTTTTCATGCTCAGATGCAAAGGAATAGCCCCCTTTCTCAATTTGGGTCACATTTTCTCAATTGAGAAAAGGGCCTATTTCTTTGCATCTTTGCAGAGTTATCTTAAGCTCTGAGTCTTAAGATCCCATTCATCTTCATTAAGTATCTGATGCTGATGAGGATGAAACCACCTTTGCAAAAATTATAAGATGAAGAAAATTATGACAGTGTAAGAGATCTGATCTAACCAACCCCATCTTGCTTTTAACCTCCAAACTGCCTTTAGTCATTCCTGGTTATGGGCCAAGCTAACTTTGAGTGAAATTTAGTTTATAGTTTAAATGATAATAGCCCTTCCCCAAAACTATACCAGTCTTGAAAAACTAATGAAATGCCACCAGGTTACGAGAATGAGAAGGGCCTGAATTCTACTAAGATGTAGGCATAGTTAAATGATTACCAGCCGCTATTCTGGAGGTCACAAGATCTGCAACTTCCCCAATTACTCCTATAGATAACATCACTATTGTAAAAACAAAGACTGGCCTTGGAGATGTCTTTTCAGGCTTTTTCAATTCTGACAGTTGGGTGGCCCCACCGAGACCTGTGATTCAACCAGTCCTGTCAATCCCACCCAAGAACAGATTCAGTGCAGAAGGACCATTTTCCACCCCTAAGATTGCATCCCCAGCCAATCATCAGCACTCATACCCTATCTCCCTCCTCAGAAAACTGTCTTTGAAAAACCCCTAACCTTTGAGCCTTCCATGAGATTGATTTGAGGCTTAACTCCCTCTCCTGCATGGTGCGGACAGCCTCTTGTCAATTAAACTCTTTCTTTACTGCAATGTCATGGCCTTGATGGACTGATTTTGTCTGAGCTGTGGGCAGGATAGAATTCAACTTTTCATTTGCCTCTCCATGTGTCTGAGAACCAATGGAGTGGAAGTAGAAATAGGATTAATCATGCACCGTCCTTCTGGTGACCCATTGGAGGATTGTACTTTCCATTCCCCAAGTGTAAAGCAATATACTTCTAGATGTCCTACTTCCCAAAGGGGAAATGCTTTTACTGGGAGGTATAGTGATATTACCAGTGGCAAGTCTGTATGGGTCTGCAGCAACTCTATTCTTGCCTCCTAGAAGGAGTGAATTTGGCCAAGGAACGTAAGACAGAGTGAGAGACCGAGGCAGGTTTTAGAGCAGGAATGAAAGTTTATTTAAAAGTTTTAGAGCAGGAACAAAAGGAAGTAAAATACATTTGGAAGAGGGCCAAACAGGCAAATTGAAAGATCCAAGTACCCTGTCTGACCTTTGATTTGGGGTTTTATACATTGGCATCTTTCTGAAGTTTGCATTTCTTCTCCCTTGATTTTTTCTTGGGGCAGGCTGTCCGCATGCGCAGTGGTCTTCTAGTATGTAGGAAGGACTGCACGTGCGGTGTGTTTATTGAAATTGTGTGCATGTTTATTTGAGGTGATTTTCCCTTACAAGTCGAGTGTTCCTAGAGGAAGATCATATATCAGTTAAACTCTGCCATTTTGTCTCTTAGTGCACATGCTTGAGCCCGCTCACCCAGCTCTTGAGATCTGATCAAGAAGCTGCTGATCACCAGCTTCAGGTGTTTTCTATCTTTTGGGAGACTGTCTTTCCTTGGCATCAGCTGCAACCAATCATTATTTTAGAGGGACAGTTTAACAAACTCCAGACCATCACCTGATGGTCACCTGACATTCTTTGGTTGGGGTCTCTCCCACCCTGCTCATGTCTGCCTAGCTACCTACTCTAACAGGTCACCATAACAGGAAGAGTAAGTGTTTCTCATCACTAGGGAAAGCAGGGCTGCTGTTACACAACAGGGGAAGGGAGGAATGTTATGGGTGCTCAGGTGATCTACTAGGGCATACTTTGGGTTCACATGCCCAATTTCAACTGTGAATTCACACAGAAATGCAGTCATCATGGCATGAGGAAATGAAGGTAGCCAGAGTCTGAATCCTCAAGGTTATGTGCCTGAATCCTGTCACAAAGCATTCCACCTAGACCATATAAGTGCTAGCTAAGAGGGAGAGAAATCTAGAATAGATGATGGAATAAGGGGATAGTAAATTGTAATTATTACCTTTAAATCAATTGCAATATTGGCTATGGTTTTTCTCATAAACTGTTTCCTTGTAAGTTTCGCAGTAACACCACCAACTAGAATTTTATTCAAAGATAAGAATAAGCAAATGGGTGTGAGTGGGACAAAGTGGAGAATATAGTACATAATGTCGGGTTCTGTCCAGATCTCTTCCTCTGGGCTGATGTGTGCCTGTCTTAGTTGCTGGGCGTATTAGCTGCCAGTACTTCACAGCTGCATCTACCTCAGAGACTTGCTCTTGTCTGCAGGCAATTGTCTCAATCAAGATTGAACTTGGTCTCAAGTGTCCTGAATCCAGTGATTATCTAATCTGTGATACAAAGACTAACTACCTTGCCTCCATTTTGAGAAACCCGGAAGTGCTGCTATTTTAGTTCCAGAGCTTCTCACAGGAAGGCTTAAGATCTAAGAAGTTGAGGTAAGAGAATATTTGAATGATTTATATGTAATTTATAGTAATTGATGGTGATGAGAAGGTGCTATTTTTCTCGAGAGTTCAGTAAGCTGGTTCTAAAATTATATTATGAAAATTACATAAATACACACACATTTTAGCATTACAACACATGAATATCAAGATGAATACCAATGTACTATATGGAAGAAAAATTAATATTTACTAAAATATGAGTGGATATTCCTAGAGTGTATATCTTTAAATGTTTATGCTATCTTCTTTAAAAACCTAACGTTAATGATGATGCCCATTTTACATACTGTTAGGTTTGCTTTACACACATTTAAGTTCACTTATCAAAAAATGTGTATGTTAAGCAAAGCAAATTCTGTAGCCGTTTTCTACCCTCAGTTACATAACCTATGCTGTGGAAACTAAAAATCTCAGCTGAGCTATAGTCAAGAAATTTCTTGCCTTATCAGCAGGAGAATGACACTGCAGCTCCTGGGAGCTTTCCTTTTCTCCTATTTGAGCAACCTCAACCTGAAACAGCACAAATTTGTGCATAAGTAAAGCGTGTAGACAAAGCAGATGCTATAGTGATCCTCTCCTATAGAAAAAGGAGGAATTATTGCACTCTAAGGCAAGGATACTATGGTAATTAGCCATAGGGCGCATGTAGTTACACAGGAAAACATTAGCAAGATATCTAGACTTCTATTTGGCTCCGTGTGACTTAATTGCCTTCTACTGATGATCCCTACACATAGCCCTGTGCTTCTTATGCTCAGAGGTCATGCTGGCTGAAAGTCCAAAAATAAAAGTGATGCCTAACCTCCACATCACACATCCACATTGCCCTAACACCAACCAGTGATCAAATAAGTCCCTAACCTATGCTCTTCATTTTCAATAAATAAAACCATGAAATTAGAAATTAGACCCTGTGCTAAATACAATGCCTAAGTTTTATTAAGATTCTAGCTCTCATGAATGGAAAAAAAAAATCAGTAACTCAGAAAAGAGCAGCTGATGGTAGCTATTGTTTAAATTGCTTATATATATGAATGTATGTGCACTGTCTATAATGTGACACTTGCTCAATATATATTTTATTAGTAATGTTTTATTTAGTTGTAAGTACTCAGGGATTATTTATCTTATACATAGTTATACTTATTGTATTAAGGAAATATAAGTAATGCTACGTATTTGAGATGAAAACAACCAAATTAATGTCAGTCACCTTTGTTCTGAATCTCAGCTAAATCTATTTAATATGTGATTTGGGGCAGATTTCAGTTGTTCTTGACCTCATTTTCGACACTTGTAAGATATATCATTTAAAATCACTTTCAACATTTAAAAAGATAATTGAAATTTAGAATGTGCTCTATTTGTGAGGTTATTATGAAGATAAGTAGAAGGACGGTTTCCTGAAACTCTAAGGATGTGCATACATACAAAGAAGCCAGTCATTCTTCTTTCATAAAAAACGCTTTCTTGGTTGTCTTGTCTGAGCATTGTGGATCTTGTTTTTAGCAGTACTCAAACAATTTCTTTAATGTGGAATATTATCTAGAGCAACAAAACTGTAAGTTACAAAATGATATAAACACTGACAGTCAGTTGACAGTTTACTTAAGGAGAATTCCTACAGCAAATTACCAGTAATTCTGAAGCTCAATTCTGGTCCTGTTCTGAGGCTAACTAGCTCATTTTACTATGATCTACTGATTGAAATGTACATAAAATCTTTGATCTGGATCCATGGCAGACATATGTTCATTAAGAAAAAACTGTAATTTGATTTTTTCAGCACTCATCAATAGGCTTCTATGTTCCACATATTGAGTTGGCTTATAAAGGTGAATATGTCACAAATCCTTCTCTCAAAGATTCCAGATATTAGTTGAAAGCATGAATAATTATAACACACCAACTATTTTAGGTCCTACAGAAGCAGAAAAGATGGAGGATCCATTCAGCTAAGGTTTGGAAATATTAACAGATGAAGTTATGTTAGAGCTTCATCTAGTTCAGCAGGTGATCAATGTTATTCTCAGGTGGAGAAAATTAAGTGCAAATTATCAGATGCAAAAATTACATCTGAAGTTTTGTTTTATCTGAAGTTTTGTTACATCTGAATTAGTTTTGAAGTCGCTCAGCAAAGGCAAGCTCACCACTAGGTTACAAAATCAATTTCTACCTACCTGCGACCTTTGTCTCTGCATTCTGTTATATAGTCTCTTTCCAACCAATGGAGTTGTGGCTTCTTAGAACACTATAATTTTATTTCTTAAATCAAATCCTCAAATGGCCATCCTAGATGTCAGGTCCATTGCTCTTGCTGGAAGAAAGGATGGAGGACAGGCATCACATGTGTGGTGAATTTGACTAGCTTTCTAGAAGAGATCGTGGCTCAAATTATTCCCAAATTGACTATTTGAAGCTATTTCGATTGGCACCTGTGCCCCTTTGGCATTCCCCATCCTTTTGTTTTTTGACCACTTCCTTGATTTTTGGCCCTAGAAGATGTTCCAGGCTCATCTTGTATTTTTCCTCTTCCAGCTCTAAAATCAGTTGTTTCTCCAAGAAGGTTGAATTCCTTTAATGAGAGAATAGTATTTGCAACCAAGATCAGGGCATAGGAAATGCTCACTGCCACTGGAATAGCATTGCCTCTAGGACCTGTTGGCAGACTGAGTTAGAAAAAATTTTTTCTATGATAGATAAAGTATAATCCAACTTCAGTGAAAGAAGTAGCAGTATATGTGGGCAACAGTCATTTTTAACATACTTTTAAATTTGATATTTATTAGACACAATGGTAAGAGTTAAATATTATGCTTAATCCTGCTGTTATGATTTTTCTGAAGTTATGGTTTACTTGTGTTGTATAAGCTGGTTGATAAAGTTCGATGTTACTAAGACAGCCAGGAAAATGAGAATAGGGCGATTTAGGGATGCCATATATGCTGGTATCCAGAGGGTACAATCAATCTAGGGACTACTTTAGGTATTGGAGACACATCTTTATAGGTAACATAAAAATACGTTGTTTTGTGATCACCTCATGGATATAGGATGGAGCCCCTCCCACTTAGTAGGTTGGATTTGAGCCCGATGACAATACATCCACTCCAAGAAAGTAAGAAAAATTGGTATGACTCCTATCATGAAATGTCCTGGAAAGAACAGGGCAACATCCCACAAGGTCTAAAATGATTGGAGAGACCCAGGGAGAGCAACTGGGTTTGACCTTTTTTGCAGTTACAGAATAGGGCAGGAAGAGTGTTCCTCCACTGGCCAGGTTTATGTGGGTTGAACTTCCTGCTGGTGTCAAAGGAAAGAGCAACAGACTTACTGACTGTCCCAAATGCGAGGAAGAGGGGGAACAGGGACAGAGGCTCTAAATCTGTCGGCAGACATCAGAAATGGAGTCAGACTTTTCTACACCACCCATACGTTAAAACAAGTCGTGTAAATAACAGAAAGACTTTCACTTGCAATGTATAAAAGGGTTCTTAGTTATAGATTAATTTTATGGGTTAGTCAAATGCAAATAGATACCATGATTGAATAGATTTCTAAGTACAAGTTAGTACAGAAAGAAGTGCAGTTACTAATTTAATATACCTTACAGTTTGAAACATTTTACTGAGAAAAACAAATGCACCAAGTACAGCATTGCAATCTGCACCCAATTTATTCTGAGTTTTCTTTACCTTTTGGTGACTACCATTTCAATATATGTTTTGATAAGAAGAAATCACTCATGATATAACTTATTTCCAATTTTCTGATCTTAATTGCTTGTCAACTTCTCAATATATTTTAGGAAAAGATAGAACCAAATACAATGTTACCGATGAGACAACCATTATTACAAAAATGATATGTTCTATAAAATATCAATCTATAAGTGACAAGAAAGGGGAAATTTCAAGAAGAGACCCTTATTCTGTATGCAGATAATTCATTTTTTGAATATTATATTGAAAACAAATTCTAAAAATTTTCCCCTAATCTATACTAAAAATAGTTGTATTTTTATAAATATTTTACTTATTTTAATTCAGTGATGATTTAAAAATTAGCAAGACAAAAATTTCTAAATACTTGCTATGGTGCTGCACATATTTTAACTTCGTTAAAAATTTATTAGTTTTTTTAAAGCCCTTAAATGTGTAGGAAAACATTCAAACCATTAACATGTTATGTTTATATGTTAATGCAAGTAGTTAAAAGATAAATATTCATTAATTAATCCTATATTTTTATGTCTTTACACTAGAAATATTTATTTTTAATTTATTTTAATCACGTCATCTCTGTTCTCAGAAAAACACACTTTGGTCCATTTGGAATGAACCAAATGCATTTGGAGTATTCAAAAAGAATGTTGAAATAAAAGGTTAACCTTAAAGAGAATGAATTTGGCTATGTACTAGGGAGAGTAGATTAGATTGCAGTAACAAACAGAATGAGATAGTATAAACACTAGGCATAGTGAAGTACATTTCCACTCTATTGATAATCCTGTTACAGGGTGGTTGGTTAGTCTTTTCCATGGGTAGTTCAGGTACTGAGGCTCTTTCTGTCCAATGTCTCTGCCAACAACTTTGACGTTGTACTGGTATTTATCTGTTCAATGCACATGTAAAATAAGAACAGAAAACATGGAGGAGGCAAAGCTTCTTGGGTCTTGGCCTGGAAATTTAATATAATACATGTTATTTCATAGCAAGTCCAAAAATAACTGTTAATAGGACCATGTGCCAAGATAAAGGAGGTGTATATGGATTGTGTTAAATAGGCATCCACTGCAGGCTGCTAATCATTAGTCATATGGGAACTAATGCTTATTCCAAAGGTGGAGCACAGAGTAACAGCAAGGCTAAGCTGTAGGCTTTTTGAATTTGCAGTGATAAAATTTCTAAAGTAAAAACCTGTCTCAGACAGGATCAGCACAGAAATTGTACTATACAGAGGCTGGAAGTAAAGTGTCTCAGTAATGACAACCAGGTATAACTTAGCACAGGAGAGATCAGGATTAGTGATATTTTATTAACAATTATTAGTGTTTATGATACATAATTAATATTATAAGGAGATTCATCTTGTGCATAGTTAATCTATGAGAGAATTAAACCAAGGATTTTTTTTCATTTTTCATTATTTTTCTCATGTTCTTTTATTTATTCTAGAAAACGATGTGATAAAAATAAGTTACTGTTCTGAATAGCTAGTGAAAATTTACACAGAAAAATAATATATTTTTAAAATAATCCATTAATATATAGTAACAAACCCATTTTTATTCTGAGGTTAATCCGCATGTGAAATGATTAGGCCAGGCATTGCAACTCTAATTCCCCATGCTTGTGCATTGAGCTGCCATTTGTTACATCTGTTTGCATTAGTCATTTTGACGCCTAGTGCACAGTAAAATCAAGACTAACTACAGATAAAGCAGAAAATTTAGTGGGAAAATGTGATGAATCCTTAAATTATTTTTATTATTCCATCTGGATGGCAATTATATTGCTTTGTGGGGTTTTTATAAGATCACAGTAAATATAACCATCTTCTCAGGAGATTAAGTTATTGGTGAAGAGTCACTTTAATAAATAAATATTTACACAACTTGGAAATTGTGTAAATGTAAAATGTAATGACATTTATGACTTTAAAAACTTCACTATTGAAATGTACAAATTTAAATGACAATGTTAAGATTGCCAGATATAATGCTCTAGTTTAATGAAGTAGCTAGTAATTTTTAAGCAAGGCTTTTTTTCAACCTTGTGTCATAATTAACCACATATCTAGAAAATATCTTGTAGCTAATCATATAAAACAAATTCCTGGCTGTTATAGCCTTAGAATTAGCACTAACTAAAACTCTAGTAACAATTTTCTTTACTAGTATTTATTAATTAGTTTGGTTTTCTGGCAGAAATAGGATGAGTCAATGAAAATCTGTCTCATATTATTATAAAGAATTCGAAATTCCAATGCTTAGTTCAGAATGCAGTCATGCACAATGCTTCATCCCCTCTACAGACACTGTTCAATCTTAGTGTGATGCTGGCCAATGGAATATAAACAAAAGTGGGGACTGCAACTTCCAGGAGTTGCCAATAAAAGGAAAGTATGTGACTTTCTCCTCCCTATTCCTCCTCCTGTTTGGGATATTGATAAGGGAATCTGGAATTGGAGTAGTTATCGTGGACCCTGAAGTGAATCTGAGAATGGAGGTTACACATGGTGGAGGAACCTACTTCTGCCATTTTATACAAAAGATAAATCATTTTATTTATCATTTGATTATCTCATTATTAGATCAAATAAGGCTTAATTGATGTAATGCATATCATAGCTTGATAAGGCAGAGCTACTAGACCCAACAGAAAAACTTTACTAATTATTTGTTTCATCATATATGACTCAGTCGTTAAAACAGTGTATGAAGCCTGTCATATTAGTTATTGAGGGAATGAGACAGAGAAAGAGAGTGAGAAAGGGAGACATATGTAAATCAATAATTTTACTTTTACAATTGGTAACTTTGAATAAACTGAAAAATTATGGGAGAGTTGTTAAATAGTTTTACTAGGCATGAATTAACTACACATTAGAACCCAGACAGACAACGATATATTAATTAAAAAGAAATTGTTAATTTCTTTCAAGTCTTCAACAAAATACATCAGTTCATTTTATTATTCATGAGTCTAAACCTATAAGCAATCTTAACACTGTATTTTTTCTTCATTGCACAAGGAATGTAAAATAAAACAATGTAAAGATTTTATCAAAAGCAGTTTTTCACTAGGGAGTTTTATTATTAAAGCTCTGACTCTTCCTCAGTTGCAAAATGTTGATTGCAATCAACTTACACTTTCAAATGTCCATGTCTTTTTATTTATTTTTTATTATTATCATCAATTGTAGGCTACTTGTTAGTTAGACCAAACACATTTTGGAGTCACAGTATATGAATAAGCAGAAGAGTTATATGCAACTTCAAGTTAAAAAATAAAAGTGGAGATTCAGATCCACAACATTAATTTTTTTATTTTTAGACATTTGATGCCATGCCTTGTACATTTTGAAATTCAACATGGTAATCATTGATTTTTTTTATTATTTTTAAATATGCACATTTTCTAATACTTAGCTATTATAGTAGCACTTTCCTGAAGAAGCAAGAATTTAAGAAAAGAATTAAAGAGACGAATCCACTTTTAAGTGTGGCAAAGGCATGGATACAGATACATGTCTACACATATTTGAATGTGTGTATATCTCTGCTGTCACAACATTTTAGAACAGCTTACAGCAAAAATGTATAAGGCTAAATATTGTCAATATATGTATAAGAATTAAGACACAGATCTGGGAAAATAATACTTCCTGTAAAAAGTAAATAAGTTTGAAAATAACTATAGTCTATTTATTGAAGACATAGCTTAATTATTAATAAAATTAATTGATTAAAACTCATCTATTAATATTTTAAGTGTAATAACAAATTATTGCTTCATTTTGCTAACTATTGCCAGATTTCAGAATCTGCCTTAATCTGACATAAAACAGGTGGTGTCATATAACATAAGAACTAGAAATAAAATCTTGATGAACATGGGTATAGATGCAGAAAAAGTACCATTATTAAAGGATATTTTTGGGACGCCGAGGCGGGTGGATCATCTTAGGTCAGGAGTTCGAGACCAGCCTGGCCAACATGGTAAAACCCTGTCTCTACTGAAATACAAAATTAGCCAGGCATGGTGGCAGGCACCACCAATCCCAGCTATTCAGGGAGCTGAGTCAGGAGAATCGCTTGAACACAGAAGGTGGAAGTTGCAGTGAGCTGAGATCGCACCATTGCACTCCAGCCTGGGCAACAGAGTGAGACTCCACCTCAACAATAAATAAATAAATAATATTTACATATTTATAGAATGCATTAACAGTAACAAAAAACAAAAATGTATGGATAAGCAGAATATATCAGAAACCTAGAATGAATTGCAATCAACATTATGCTATTGAGGAGGAGTCAGAGTGTTGAATAATAAAATTCCCTAATACAAGACTGCTTTTGATAACATTTTTAACTTCTTTTTCAAGGAAATCCCCTTCTTGTGTCTTTCCACTAAATAAGAAGTTATTCACCATCCTTTGCAGATGAGCATCACAGGCTTTTTGAAAGATAAAATTTTCTATTAACCTCTGTGTGCTTTGGTTTTCTCATAAGTAAAAATAGATGGTAATATGTAACTCCAAAGTTTGTTGTGAAAAAAAGAATTGAGGTGATGTATGCAAAAGTAACTAGGAAGTTTTTCCCACACAGGGAGTGCTCAGTCACTGTTAGATACCCTCGTTCTTCTCTATATATATACATAGTTTAGGTTCACATAAGGACAAAGCATCAAAATAGAGTGTCTTACAATTGGCACTAACAATTTTTTTTTAACTCAAAGATTTGCATTTTATATATAAGAAACAACAGGACTACTGATAAATAACAAAAGCTCTTAATGCAGACAACCTACACTTACGTCTGGGCTTGATCACAAACTAGCATTTTGGTGCTAAAATATGTTATTTGGTCTTCCCGAGCCCATTTCCATATTTAAAATTGGGGATGAGAAATTCACTGATATATTATTAAGATTTAAATGAGGTAATTCCTGAGAAGGAGCCTGAATCATTCCAAAATATAGGTGTTATTAGCTAATATGAGTAGTAATTATTATTACATAATATATAGTAGTAATATTGTAGCATATGAAAATACTATCTGCAAAAGAAGGAAAATAAAGATTATCTTCATGATAATTATTTGAAAGCTACCAGGCATAGGTGGAACAACAATCAAACGATAGTTATTAATTTTTTTTTTTTTTGAGACAGTCTCGCTCTTGTCGCCCCAGCTGGAGTGCAGTGGCACACTCTCAGCTCTTTGCAACCTCCGTCTCCTGGGTTCAAGTGATCCTCCTGCCTCAGCCTCCCAAGTAGCTGGGATTACAGTTGCCCACTACCACAGCCAGCTAATTTTTGTATTTTTAGCAGAGACGGGGTTTCACCGTGTTGGCCAGGCTGGTCTCCTGACCTCAGGTGATCTGCCCTCCTTGGCCTCCCAAGACAGTTATTAATTTTAATGCTCAGGCTAAAATCCATTCTATCTGAAAAGCTGCAACCTGAAAAGAGGAGCAGATACTCATTTCTTTGGAATCACAGGACACTGAGATTTACTACTTCCAATAGCATCCCCTTTTTCATGGAGAACGGATTGTCTCCTGGATTGTGTACTGTTACGTAATGACAAAGCATCTTCGGGACCTCTCCTCTAATGCATTGCTAGCACAAAGGTGACTGTGCTGCTCCTCTGTCAGGATTGGCAGACACAAAGGCAACAATAAGTGAAAATCACAGAGTTTAAGAAAGTTTTTTAAACCAAAGTATTTGTACTTCCATATTTCCTATTGAAACATACAATCTAAGTCCAATAAACCACCTTTTCAGACATGAGTATATGCAACCTTAGCAAAATGAATTCCTTTAGAGAGAAAAAATACTTTTGAAGATGAAATGTATCATATTTTATCATCTAAAAACAACAATATGTATAAAAATTCAGGCTGAGAAGTGGAGATTTGCTCAGGTATTATCTACTTTTTATTGAAACTTTTAACTTAGAATATCCCATCCAGAAAAACAAAACACAACTAGAAAAAAGCAGAAAACAAAACAACAGCCCTAGTTGAGCTTTGTTCATGTATGCATCAGTTCCCTTAGAATGTAATTTACCTAACTTAACACCTTGGTGTTTTACCCTTTTGGATTTAGTGAACTGGCTCAACACCAAGCACTGATACAGGCACACCCTTCAAAATAACGTACTGCTCAGGAACATCAGAAGAGAAGCCAGAAGTCATAAAAGAGAAGTAAAAGGATGAAGCCAGTCAAGAGAATACCGTGATAGAAAGATGAGAACAGGAATTGTGAGAAATAGACTGAATTATACAGAATAAGGCATAATTTCTGAAAAAAAATAGAGCCACTAAATTTTACATACATCATTAGTATGTCGTTATTCATCACCATACAGTTATTTACAAAGATGATGAGTGGTGACTCTTTTTTTTGAGGCATAGTCTCACTCTCTTGCTCTGTCACCTAGGCTGGGGTGCAATTGCATTGTCATGGCTCACTGTGGCTTTGACCTCCCAGGCTCAAGCAGTCCTCCCACCTCAGCCTCTCTAGTAGCTAGGACTACAGGCACAAGCCACCATACCTGGCTAGCTTCTTCTTCTTCTCCTTCTTCTTCTTCTTCCTATTATTATTATTATTATTATTATTATTATTATTTAGAGACAGTGTCTTGCTATGTTGCCTGTTACCCAGGCTGGTCTCAAACCCCTGGGCTCAAGTGATCCTCCTTCTTCAGCCTCCCAAAATGTTGGGACTACAGGCATGAGCCGCCATGCTCAGTAACTCTAGTCTCGAAAACATAGCCATAGATAAAATATGCAAAGCACAGCCTTACCCTTAAATTGTATGACTCAGGAGCCTTTTAAAAAATAGTATCATTTTAGGACAAGTAAGGCAGTACATTTGAAATCCATTCATGTCCTGATCTTTTTATTTCTTTCCTTCCTCTCTTGTAGCCAGCCGTTGGGTATTCAGTCTTTCCCTCTGCCACACATGAAAACTAAACTAAAATTGCTCTGGGTTCTGAACTAGTCATTTGCTGTTGGGAATTCAGTGCTGTAAAAGTTTACCATTTTGTTCCTTGTAAGAGGGGAATGAGGGCTTGAAGCCAGAGGTTGGGGTGTTAAAGGGTTTCTTCCTTCTTAAGCTCATGGAAAAAAAGTAAAAATAGAAATAGGAATTAGGCATAAAGAAAAATACAAATAGTAAAAAATAGTTTTGCTGGCCACCATAGACTTATAAAAAGGTGCAAGAACAGGGAGACATTTGGAGAAATAATCAAACGTTCATTAAAGATTGAAGAAATTTTATACATTCCTTAGAGACCTCTCTCCACTGGGGAGCTCTGCTAAACTCCTTGGCAGAAGTGAGGTGATCTTCTGACTGATTACGATATGTATTTAGGATAGTAAGATCTTCTGTTGAATTGAACCCTTTGCCATGATGGAATCCCCTTCTTTGTCTTTTTTGATCTTTATTGGTTTAAAGTCTGTTTTGTCAGAAACTAGGATTGTAACCCCTGCTTTTTTCTGTTTTCCATTTGCTTGGCAAATTTTCTTCTATCCCTTTATTCTGAGTCTATGTGTGTCTTTGCACGTGAGAGGGGTCTCTTGAAGAGAAAAGGCCAGTGGGTCTTGGCTCTTCATCCAGCTTGCCATTCTGTGTCTTTTAATTGGGGCATTTAGCCCATTTACATTTAAGGTTAGTATGGATGTGTGTGAATTAGATCCTGCCGTCATGATGCTAACTGGTTATTTTGCAGACTTGTTTATGTGGTTGCTTCATAGTGTCACTCGTCTGTGTACTTCAGCATGTTTTTGTAGTGGCTGGTAACAGTTTTCCCTTTCAATATTTAGTGCTTCTTTCAAAATCTCTTGCAAGACAGGCCTAGTGGTGATGAATTCCCTCAACATTTGCTTGTCTGAAAAGAATCTTAGTTATCTTTCTCTTATGAAGCTTAGTTTGGCCAGATATGCAATTCTGGGTTGGAAATTATTTTCTTTAAGAATGTTGAATATTAGCTGCCAATCTCTTCTGGCTTACAGGGTTTCCACTGAGAGGTTCACTGTTAGTCTGATAGGCTTCTTTGTAGGTTACCTGGCCTTTCTCTCTGGCTACCCTTAACATTTTTCCTTTCATTTCAACTTTGAAGGATCCGATGATTATGTATCTTCAGTTGATTTTCTTGTGGAGTATCTTATTGGGGAGTATCTTTAGTAAGATACTTACTAGGAAATATCTTTTCTGCATTTCCTGAATTTGAATGTTAGCCTGTCTTGCTGGGGTGAGGAAGTTCTGCTGGATGATATCCTGAAGTATGTTTTCCAACTTATTTCCATTCTCACATCTCTTTCAGGTACTTCAGTCAGTCATAGGTTCAATCTTTTTACATAATTCCATAATTTTTGGAGGTTTTGTGCATTCCTTTTCACTCATTTTTTTTCTATTCTTGTCTGCCTGTCTTCATTCAGAAAGATAGTCTACAGGCTCTGATATTCTTTCCTCCACTTGGTCCATTCTTCTATTTGTACTTGTGATTACATGGTGAAGTTCTCATGTGTTTTCAGCTCCATCCGGGTCAGTTATGTTCCTCTCTAAACTGCTTATTCTGCATACCATCTCCTGTATTGTTTTATCATGATTCTTAGCTTCTTTGCATTGGGTTGCAACATGCTCCCTTAGCTCAGCAAAGTTAGTTATTACTCCCCATCAGAAGCCTACTTCTGTCAATTTAGCCATCTCAGCCTCAGCCCATTTCTGTGCGCTTGCTGGAGAGGTGTTGCCATCATTTGGGGAAGAAGAGGCTCTCTGGCTTTTCGAGTTTTCAGCATTTTTGCGTTGTTTTCTTTCTCATCTTTGAGGTTGCTGACCTTTGAATTGTGATTTTATGGGGTCTTTTTTGTTCATGTTATTGTTTTCTGTTTGCTTTTCTTTTAACATTTAGGCCACTGACTGTTAGCAACCACAGGGCTGCTGTGATGTGCTGAGGGTCTGCTCCAGGCTCTAGTTGCCTTGTTTTTTTCCCATACCTGCAGGTATCACCAATGAAGGCTGTGAAACAGTAAAGATGGTGGCCTGCTCCTTCCTCTAGAAGCTCCATCCCAGGCAAGTACTGACATGGTGCCGGCCCAGACACTTCTATAGGAAGTATCTTTAGACCCCTTTCCGGAGTTCTCGCCCAGTCAGGAGGAACGGGATCAGGGACCTGCTTACCGAAGCAGTCTGGCTACTTTATGGTAGGGCAGGTGTGCTGCATTGGTGGGGACCCTTCTTCATTTGGACCACCCAGACTCTCCAGAGCTGGCAGGCTGGAACAGCTGAGTTGACAAACTTCAGAGATGGTGGCCACCACTCTCCCTCAGGAGCTCCATCCTAGGGGAGAGATCAGAATTCTGCCCATGTAAGCCTGGCTGGAGTGACTGAAGTTCCCCCGCTGGGAGGTCCTGCCCAGTGAGGAAGAATGTATCAAGGTCCTGTTTAAAAATAAGCAGTATGGGCTGGGCGTGGTGGCTCACGCCTGTAATCCTAGCACTTTGGGAGGCCGAGGCAGTCGAATTGGCTGAGCTCAGGAGTTCCAGTCCAGCCTGGGCAACACGGTGAAACTCCGTTTCTAGTAAAATACCAAAAAAAAAAAAAAAAAAAAAAAAATTAGACAGGTGTGGCGACGGGCGCCTGCAGTCCTAGCTACTTGGGAGGCTGAGGCAGGAGAACTGCTTGAACTGGGGAGGCGGAGGTTGCAGTGAGCCGAGATCGCGCCACTGCACTCCAGCCTGGGGACAGAGTAAGACTCTGCCTCCAAAAAAAAAAAAAAAAAAAAAAAAAAAAAAAAATTCTGGCCATAATCTGGCAAAGCAGGTGTGCTGCATTGGGGGGACACCCCACCTCATCCGACTCATCCGAACCACCTGGACTCTCCAGAGCCAGCAGACCTGGAATGCTGAGTTGACCCAACCACAGAAATGGCGGCCACCCCTTCCCCCCGGGGAATGCCCTCCCGTCTCAGACAGACTCAGCCAGTTGTGTTGGCTGGCTGGAGTTCCAAGCCAGTGGATCTTACCTTTTGAGGTGCTATGGAAATGGGTCCCACAGAACAATGCTGCTTGGCTCTCTGGATTCAGCCACCTTCCTAGGGAAATGTACAGACAGACCTCTGGCCCTGCTGGGGATCCTGGGGCCAGAATGTGTAAAACTCCTGAGTCTCTGTGTGTGCCTAAGTGGCTGCTCTGCTGAGACTCCACACGGCTCTGCATGTCAGACCCAAGGCCCTGGTGGCGTGGGCTCACAAGAGGATCTCCTGGTCCATGGGTTGCAAGGATCCGTGGGAGAAGTGTGGTTTCCCGGGCAGGGTCGCACAATCAATCACCACTTCCCTTGGCTAGGGGTGGGAGTTCTTTAGCTCCATGCCACTCCTAGCTGGGCTGTCAGCCCATCCTGCTTTTTGTTGTTCTCCATGTGTTGAGTTGTCTGCCTAGTCAGTCCCAGTGTGAGAACCTGGATATTTCAGTCTAAGGTGCTGAATTCACTCGCTGCTTTCATTCCTCTCTGTTAGTGGCACAGACCGCAGCTGCTTCTCATCAGCCATCTTGGCCCCTCGTACCCTCTATATCCACAGAGTACTTAAGTTTGAATATTTGAAATATTCAAAAAATACTAGATTTTTTTTTGCTGTGGGAATCATATATATTCCAATATAAGAAACTTCAATACATTTCAAAGTAAAACTTTTATTAACAAATAGAAATATTATTGTTTTCAATATACTTTCTTAAAACCATATAAGCTCAATTTAGAAAAATTATATTTTGCCAAGAATGTGGCAGTTGCTTTCCATCTACATACACATTGGTCTTTCTTCCAAATAGAAATTTTATCTTTAATGAAATTATTGCTTTTGCTCAACTTGTACTGTCTGCAATTTTTCAAGAAAACAAATTTAGGGTTCTTTGTTTTTTATTATCTATTATCTTTTTTAATATCTTCAATGTAAGGTTCTTTATGCTTTTGTATTTCCCTTTGAATAATTAAATCTGTTGTCTATTTCACTGAATCAATGTTATACAACACATTTAGTTTCATTAGAAATCTGCCATACCTCATCCATTTCCACTTAATTTTAATTTTATTTTAAATTGCACTTTCATATTTTCCTATTTCGTTATCTAAACTTTGTTCTTATGGCTATATGCTCCTGTTTCATAGGGACAAATTGTTTCTCAAACTCTAGTTGATGCTAAAAATTTGTGGAATTCTCTTACGTATCGGTCAATAAATCTTTTTAGATTTCTGCTTTACTTTTGTTTATCTTCATGTTTCTGTCCTTCCTTTATTTGCCTTTCCTTTGAAATGTGTTGGATTCAACCAGCATTATGTCTTATGTTTGATTTTTTTTAACCAACATTTACCACGTTTAATATCATTCAGACTTCTAGGTTTGTCTAATGACTTGCTGAAATGAATTACCCTGCCCTGCTGCTCCATATGGTTTGTATTTTAGGGTCCCAGTTGAGGCAGAGATCAGATTGATGTCTAATACTTCATTTAAACTCCCACCTTCCAGAGAACGTTACCCAGTGTGCTGTCCTTGGGGGAAAAAAAAAAGTTAATGGCTTATTAGACTCCCACTGTATTATTATCCAGCAGTTTGAACTGAAGACAAACATGAACAAAAAATCTACAGCACGTTCTGCTGAAAGATTTTCCCTTTCTTTGCTCATTACTGCCTCTATTTTTCATAGCGATTACATCTTCCTGTATAGAAGTCACAGCTAACATGGCTATCTCCCTATTTCCTTTACTCTTTTTCTCTTTTGAATGTTGGGTGATATTTTGAGAGGAACTAGGTTCAATTTTCTAATATAAAACCTGTCTTTGAGTACACAGATTCAGTTGGAAAGATATGAGATGTTTTTCTGACTTTTCTCTGATCCACGTTTTTGAGTTTTGACATCATAATAGCATTAGACAAAATATGGTAATTATTTTATTTTGTGTTGGTGTGTCTTTTATTAATCCTGTTTAGTATACATTGAGGTTACTAGGGCTTTTTCCCAGTTTCTTATTTTAGTTTATGGTCTATTTTTTTTTTTTTCGTGTGTATTTCTCCTGCCATCTTCAGTATTTTTAGGAGACAGTAGAATGTGATTAAAGTTTCTATACTGATGTCATTCTGAATGAGTTGTTCTCAATTTATAATCCAAAACATTTTCACATAGGTAACAATCACTTTATTTACTTATATTTATACATTTTTAGGTTTAACTCTTTAGAGGTAAAATGCTTTATGCTGGGGGTTGAGGAGACCTGCTTTAATCTTTCAAGTATGAATGAAAGAAGTAAGGACATTTTAGAATTGTTATATTTCCACTATCACCAACTGGAGGTCTGAAAACATTCAAGAAAAGTGATGCAAGTACAGTCAGATGTACCTTAGAGGAAAAGCACAACCCCTTTTTTTTTTTTTTTTTTTTTTTTGGAGTCTCACTCTGTCGCCCAGGCTGGAGTGCAGTGGCACAATCTTGGCAACCTTCACCTCTGGGGTTCAAACGATTCTCCTGACTCAGCCTCCTGCGTAGCTGGGATTACAGGTATTACAGGCAGGTGACACAATGCCCAGCTATCTTTTGTATTTTTAGTAGAGATGGGGTTTCACTATGTTGGCCAGGCTGGTCTGGAACTCCTAACCTCAAGTGATCTGCCCGCCTTGGCCTCCCAAAGTGCTAAGATTACAGGTGTGAGCCACCGTGCCCGGCCTACTATTCATTTTTCATGTTTGTTACTGAAGTATAAATGTTGAATGTTAGGTTTTTTGTATGTTTGTTTGTTTGTTTGTTCATTTGTTTTCAGAGTTTTGCTCTTGTTGCCCAGGCTGGAGTGCAATGGTGCAATCTTGTCTCACTGCAACCTCCCCATCATGGGTTCAAGAGGTTCTCCTGCCTCAGCCTCCCGAGTAGCTGGGATTACAGGCACCTGCCACCACGCCCAGCTAATTTTTGTATTTTCAGTAGAGACAGGCTATCACCATGTTGGCCTGGCTGATCTCGAACTCCTGACCTCTGGTTATCCACCCACCTCAGCCTCCAAAAGTGCTGGGACTACAGACATGAGCCACAGCGCCCAGCCCAGACGTTAGTCCATTTTTGACTAGCTTGATTTCCATCAATAGAAAGCCAAAATACCAGCAACCTCACTTTACTTAACATATTCTCAACACCCAAAGTAAACTTGGCATCAGTAAGGAATCCCAATACTGTGTGTTCTCTGGTAAACAACAACCAAAGGAGAATAGCAAGATTAGGATTAGCACCCTTTGCCAAATAACCTCATATTCTTCAATTATCCAACAGATGAGTCTGTCTGCTTGAGAATGTTGATAGCATTCACCAGAAAGAACATAGAAAGCTAATCTGTAACATTATGTCCCCAGAAAAGCTCCTGTATCAATTGCAGTGGATCATTTGAGTGAAGCTGAACAATGTCTAGGATGGTAGCCACTAACAAATAGATATTCAAATTCAGGCTTAATTTTTTAAAAAATTAAATAAGGTGAAAATTCAGTTGCTTGTTCACATTAGCCACATATCAAGTGGCATATGGCTAGGAGGCAACTATGTATTAGACAACAAAAATGTCGGAGGCAATTATATTAAATGGCTTCTGATCTAGAGCTTTCTGTGGAGTCAGGATATGGAATCAGACATACCTTGGCTCAACTTTTGAATCTTCTACTTATAAGACGTATCATATGTACTCATTGTTTAACTGCCCCCAGCCTCAGTTTTTCTGTCGGCAAAATGTGTATAACATATTTACCAAGTGAAATTTTTGTAACAGTAAATTTTTAAAAATGCTTGGAAATGATTCTGTTATTTAATAAGTCTTCAATAAAATTAGCTAACACTATTTTAAAAAATAATAATAGTTTAGTTAAATGCAAAGTCACAATTTCAAGAGAGGTATTTTAAGAAAACACCTTGTCAATACACCTGCATCTCTATCTATCCTGCCAGTGCTGATATATTTGTTGCATTTAACATATACTTTGAACATGGTATTTTTAGATAGATGATGTTTTTATAATTTTAATTTTGTCTTTTTAACTTCAGCCAGTTCTTGTATAAATGGATAAGATTCATAAATCATAAATTTCCTAATAAATATTTAATAAGAAAAATATCGAATTTCCTACTTCACATCCTTGGATATACCTAGAATGAAAAAGAGATATATTATGCAAGTTATAAATGGAAACAAAATGGAAAGTTTAGGAACAATGTAAAAGCTTTTCTTTATGAAATTCATCAGTATTTTGTCACTTTTTTATAACAATACTTTGAAATTATTGAATATACACACTAATTCTTATTTAAATAATAGAAAAGCAATATTTTTATGTTCAAAAATTCTATGGAGTAAAAAGAATAATAGAGTGAATTGTGTAGTATGACAAACCCAATATAAACAGACTTATGAAAATCGACATATATTAGTTTTCTTAATTAGAGTAAATAGGGAAACAGAAGGTTATCTACATATATGCCAGACACAGCAACTATGTACTAAGAATACAAACATAAACTTTTCCTGAGCCATGTACTTTGAAAGGTTAAACATAGAGAAAGGAGACAAACAAGTGAACTCAACTTCCAGAATGAAAAGTAGTAATTTAGCCGGTGGTGAAGGAAGTACTGTGGAAGAAAAAAAAAAGAACAAAAGAGGAAAAATATAAATTAAACTGAAATGTGCTGGAAAGACCCAACCACATTTTTCAGCCAGTGGTATGCTTACATTAATTACTAAGGAACGATAAGCATTTCAACAGGAATCAAAGATGGGGCATGAACCGATCAAAAGACTTTTTCAGGAAGAAGGACTGCAAACAGTGCAATACAGAGATTTAAAGTACTGTGTCAAAGTATGACAAGAATGTCTAAACAGGTAAAATGAGATCAGATCTTAAAGGAACTTATGTGTGAAGCTGAGGGCAAGAGTTATGATGAAAGTTATTTCAAGTCTTTGAAGATTTTTGACTATAGACATAACTTAATCATACCAGACTTCAAAAAAAAAAAATTACACTGGCAGAAGTGTGGTAGATTGGAGAGTGGAAACAACACAGGCAGAAATTCTGTTAGGTCATATAGTATTAATCCAGAAAATGAAGACCAGGACAAAAATGGTGGCTGTGAGAAATGGAAGGAGAAAATGCACTAGTAATTTGTAAAATATTGTGATTAATTGAATATGGGAAATTAAAGAGATATTCATAATAGCATGTTTTTTTAAATTCTAAATGATATATGTGGAATCAAATCATAAAATTCTATATTAAATGTCATTATTTGACTCTTCAGTCATTATTTTTAGGAGAAACCTATTCATGAACATACTATCAAAATCATATTTAGAATGCTATGATATTCATAACATTATGTAAAAAAATAGTCCAAAGACTTATGAAGTGCATGAATTGCACCATGGTTACTCTGGGTGACAGATCATGGAAAGTAAACATATCTGGAAGTTCAAGGAACAGACCAAATTCTGGTAACAGATTCTTTAATTATTTTTATAAAGACAAAGGGACATATTTTGAGAGTTAAATAATCATTTAAACAAAATTATCAATGATTGAGAGAATCTTTTAGAATATACATTATTCAAGTAATAAAGCATAATTTTGTCCCAAATTTTATTTTTATAATGTATTTTAATATCATCCATAATATAGGTTTTCAAAATATTTTTCAACTTAAAATAATAATATTAGTTACTTGGTTGTGAAATATTGCTGATTGTATATTACTTAACAAATTATTAGTTGGTATTGGCAGATTATTAACCATGGCCTAATTTCTATCATGTCTAAAATAAATCCCATGTTTGGTGAAGATAGAAAATGAATGAGATTTTGTGTGTGTGTTTGTGTGTGTGTGCGTGTGTATGTGTATGTTTATGTATGTGATGAGATTATTTCCTTAAGTCCCCAGTCTAATAGTTGTTCAGAATGTATAGGAATTGCACTTCTAAAATACTCACCACAACCACATCATGCCTAGCACAATACTGTTGGAATTTAAGGAGACTCAAGTAACGAGACCTCCCCCACCATCACCCCAACACCCAACACCCCACACACAATATCTGGTACGTTTGGAATATTTCTTCTCTATTCTTCACTTTTGCATGGAAAGGTACTTCCATTAGAATATTGTCCTGGTCATTGTCCTACCTCCTCACTGACCTCCGTTAGGCATCTTAGTCTGTTTCTGTTATAACAAAATACCTGAGACTGGGTAATTTATAAAATAAAGGTTTATTTGGCACAGGGTTCCTGAAGCTAGTAAGTCCAAGATCAGGCAGATGCATCTGGTGAGGGCCCCATGCTGCATCCTAACATGGTGGATGGCATCACTTGGAAGGAGTGCATGCAAACAGACAAAACACAAGGGGCAACTGTGTTTTCTAACCCAATCTTGTGGTATCTAAGCCAGTTCCATAAGCTCGAGAACTCACACACTCCCAGAAGATGGCACTATCCCCTTCATCATGGAGCATCCCTCATGACCTAAATGCCTCTTTTTTTTTTTTTTTTTTTTTTTGAGACAGTTTTGCTCTTGTTGCCCAGGCTGGAGTACAATGGCATGATTTCGGCTCACTGCAACCTCCGCCTCCCAGGTTCAAGCGATATTCCTGCCTCAGCCTCCCAAGTAGCTGGGACTACGGACGTGTGCCACCACGCCCAGCTAATTTTGTATTTTTAGTAGAGACAGGGATTCTCCATGTTGGTCAGGCTGGTCTCGAACTCCTGACCTCAGGTGATCCACCCGCCTCGGCCTCTCAAAGTTCTGGGTAAATTACAGGCTTGAGCCACCACATCTGGCCCCCAAATGCCTCTTACAGGTCTCAGCACCTCTTAACACCATTACTTTGGGGACTAAGCTCCAATGTCAGTTTTGGCAGGGAAAAGTCATATTCAAGCCATTGCAAATGGGAAAGAAACAAACTATCTGACAGATAAATTCAGTAAGATTAACAGAGAATTAGTGTTCAAGCTCTCCTTATTCCCTTTGTGATCTGTCTACTAAAAACAATTCTGTAATTCTACACTTCAGTTTTTGTAGATTATGTTCAACAAATGGGATTAGCTAGTGACTGGGGATATAATTGTAATTTGTGTATATCCACAGACCTAAGCCACAATTTAAAAGTATTGTTATTATCATGAAGTGCTGTTTTCATTTCTAACTGTTCCTTTTATTTATCACTCAGTTTCAAATCTAGACAGAGGACAAGGAAGATGGGCATTATTTATAAAACCCTCAAAATTCCAACACATAGCATTTAATTGTAGAGCAGAAAATCTGTTGTGTTTTGATTTTCCTGTAATCTCTTCTATTCTAAGAATGCACAACTAGTAAGTATATTGGAAAATGTAAGAGATGTAAACACCTGAGTTCTAATGTAGGATCTGTCATCATGTAACATTGACATTTGACATATATAATTTATGGTTTTTGATTAGTATGTTTCATAAGAACTTTATTTGGAAAATGATAGGGTCAGACCAGATAGCCATAGGGTTTCTTTTTAATTCTGAAGTCCTTTATAAATATCAATGAAATTCTTTCTTGTAACTATTAAGTAAATGAATACAAATAATAAAAATAAAAATAACAGATCACATTTTAATAGACAATAACGACAGAGTTTTTGTTATCTAAAATTTATGGACCAAATTAATGAAAAAGTCTACTGTGTACCTTTTATCCACGCAATGTAAATTCACTTTTCAGAGCTGTGGTGATATCCATCCAAGATGCGATCATTAGTAAATAAGATTAAATTTCTAACAACTAAAAGGAATTTATTCCATAGTCAAGTAAATGATCCTTAAAATCGCTTTACACCAATGGCTTCTAATTGAAATTTAGGACAGTAACCTTAATTTCACCAGCTATTCTTATTGGAATAGAAAACCTCGTGAAAAACACAAAGCTGCATACATAACACATATTATGGTCAAGCAAGAACTTAAAATAACTAACTTCCTGTATTGAAGGCAAAGTTTTTTTTCTTATTTTACTACATATTACTACTCTGAGTAAGAAGAGATTTTTTAAAGCAGTAAGATTTTGTGTGCACAAAGATTTATAAAATAATATTTAGAGGTTTATTAAGAATATAGTTCAAAGTAGCATATTGTATTATTTATTATCATATTATTTGTATTCTGAGTCTATAAACCATGAATCAGATGCTACAATAATCTTAATCAAAAAATTATATTTATATATTTTCTAGTTACTTGTATCTATTCCAAATATATGAAAGTGTTACTATGCTTAAATATTTAAGAAATTTATTTAATGTTTTCTGTTCTCCCTTGACTTAGACATATTTCCTAAGCAAGAGTCAGGATATACTAGAAAGCAATATAATAAAAATAAGTTCAGAAAATTAAAAAGCTTATAGTGTACAATTGATAAATCATAGTCAATAACTTTTCCCAAATGCTTTGAGATAAAAATAGGCCCTGAACATGTCTGAGTGTCTTACTGAGTTTCCTTAATAAACTCATATTCATTTACCTGCATGCACTATCTCCTGCCTTTTTTATTTTTATCACATCTACAAATATGCTTTCTCATTTGCTCTTCCTTTCAGAAAATGAACAATCTTATTATTCATTGAGAAAATAAATTATGGCAGTTTGAAAACTGTGTATCTAGCCATCATTAAATATCTATACATTCCTATATTATTTTATCCTAATTCCCTCCTGATAAAACGGGAAAATGTTGTCTCCTGCCAAAGGCTTGTACTTCCAGTGCTAGAGATTAGACTTTTTTCTATCTTCTCACATATGTGACACCTTCAGCAAACACTTTCTCTCATTCATTTTAAACTCTCTCTACTGAATTATTTCTACAATCACATATGCTATCATTTTTAAAATAAGTCAACTCACCTTAAAAACTCACCTTCCTTCATTCAAGCTATGATCCTATTCCTGGGGTGTCTTCATATGATCATTTAGAGAGCTGTCTACATATGATGCATGCATTCTCACTTGTCTTTCACTCCCCATGTTACCCCCAAATCATCTCCTCTCATGATTGTCAAAAGACCTTCAAACAATAATGTCTCTTTCCAACAAAAATATTGATTTCCATGTTGCCAAAGTCAATGGCTATAGTTCAGTCTTCATATTGTTAACCTTTATTTCTTATTTTTCACAATGAATTCCTCATTCTTTTTTGGCCTCTGAAACTCCGTAATCATCATGCCCCATCAACAACTCTCATTGCTTTTCATCAGTGTTTTTTGCTACTTTTCTTCTCTGAAGGAATGATATCACAGAAGTCCAGTTAAAACAGCATTAAATGAAATTCAGCATCTCATAACATTATATAAAAAGTCCAAGTGTCAATCAAAATCACTAGTCATACTCAAACCAAATGAAAAACAACCAATAGATGTAAAATCCAAGATGGCAGAGATTCTAGAATTAAAGCTATCGTGATAAAAATGTTTTCAGTGAACAATTATGAACCTAAATTGAAACAACAAAAATTTGAAAGTATCAGCAAAGAAATATGCAGTATAAAGAAGAAGCAAACAGGAAGTTTTGAACTGAAAAATATAATTATCAAAATAATAATCATAAAAATAAATAAGATGAACAGGAAATCATAAGGGATATTGGAAAGAACAAGTGAATGGGAAGATAATAAAAGAGAAATGACTCAATATGGACAACATGGAGAAAATAGAATAGAAATAATGAACAGAGCCTTGAGAACCTGTGACAATAGGTCCAACTTTTCTGTCATTGTAATACCAGAAGGGGAAAAGAAAGTGTAAGCTTGAAAAAGTACTTTAAAATTTATGGTGGTCGAGGCGGGCAGATCACGAGGTCAGGAAATCAAGACCATCCTGGCTAACATGGTGAAACCCCATCTCTATTAAAAATACAAAAATTAGCCGGGCATGGTGGCAGGCTCCTGTAATCCCAGCTACTCTGGAGGCTGAGGCAGGAGAATGGCATGAACCTGGGAGGCAGAGCTTGCAGTGAGCTGAGATCACACCACTGCACTCCAGCCTGGGTGACAGAGTGAGACTCCATCTCAAAAAAAAAAAAAAAAAATATGGCTAAAAACTTCCAAAATTTGGCAATGTTATAAACCTACAATTATAGGAAACTGGAAGAATACCAATTTAAAAACACACGCACACACAAGAAATTACATCATCAAGATTCATATTAGTCTAGTTTTTGAAGTCTGAAGATAAAAATATCTGAAAGGTAGCCAGAATTTGACAACTTACCTATAAGGGAAAAACATTTTGAAAGACAACAGATTTATCATCAAAAACCAAGGATACCGGAAGGAGTTGGAAAAACATTTTTCAAGGAGGATGACAAGACTGTTAACTCAGAATCTTATACTCAGAAAAAATAAAAGTACTCCAGAAATAAAGGAGAAATCAACATATCCGCAGATGAAGTATTTAACACCAGTTACCAGTTTGACCTATCCTGAAAGAATGGCTTCAGGAAGTTCTCCAAACAGGAAGAGTATTATTATTATTTTTTTTTTTAAAAAAGGTCTATTGGAATCTCAAGATGGAAGACAGAACATGGTAAGAAAAAAAAATGAATAAATACAATAGGCTTTTCTTACAATAGGTTGCTGATTTGAAACAACAATGTTAACACTGTCTGATGCAGTTAAGCTAATTATATTCTAAAAGGAGGATAGTGAAGAAACCTAACATAAAGTCTGTATAGCTTGCTCACACCAGTAAAATAACCCCACCAGTAAACTGTGATATACAATATCTACAGTGACCACACACACACACACACACACACACAAAATTATTATAGCTAAATAAAAACAAAATGCCAAATATTTCAAGTAACTCACTGGAAGGCAGAAAAATGAAAGCAGAGAGCAAAAAATGTGAGAAGAACCAACAGAAACTAGAAAATAAAATTAAAGACGTAAGCCCTAAGAGATTATTAAATGCATTAAATGTAAATGGCTAAATGCAAAAATTAAAAGACAAATTGGCAGAGGCTATTAAGAGTTATGATCCGACTATATGCTGTATATAAGAAACTCATTTCAAATATGATATAGTAAGTTTAAAAATAAAATCATGGAAAAAGATACATCACCAAAATATTAATTAAAAGAAAACAGGAATGGCTATATCATATCAGATGAAGTAGACCACAGTGCAAATAAAAATACTAGACACAGATTGGGAAATTTGGTAATAATAAAAGGGTCAATATACCAAGAAAACATAGAAATATGCATCAAAAATCTATAACTAAAAATTAAAAATATAAAATCATATTTTATAATATTAAAAGTATTTTAAAAATAGACATAAGTCTTATACCAAATGCAAAAATGAACACAAATTAGATCATGGACTTAAATACAAAATGTAAAACTACACGTTTTAAAAACTAATATGGGACAAAATCTACAGAGTTCCAGGGGTAGGCAAGGAGTTCAGAGATGACATCAAAAATATTATTGGAGAAGAAAAAATTCATAAAGTGGACTTAATCAAAATCTAATATTTTGTTATGTAAAAAATTATACTAAGAGGATGGAAAGACAAGCTACAGAGTGGGAGAATATATTTGCCAACCACTCATCCAGTAACAGACTTGTATCTAAAACATGTAAGGAATCCTCAAAACTCAATAGTAAAAAATAATTCAATTTTAAAATGGGGAACAGACAGAAATTTTTCTGAAGAGGATAAACAGATGGCAAATAAGCTTATGGAAAGATGATCTGTATAATTAGCCATTAGGAGAGTTCAAATTAGGACCACAATGAGATAATAAACCTATTTGTATGTCAAAAAAAATGACACTACCAATTGCTGTGGAAGATATGGAGAAACTGGATCACTCCTCTATTGCTGTTGTAAAGGCAAAAGCGTACAACTCACCCAAAAACAATTTGATAGGTTTGTTTATTGTTTGTTTTTTAAATTAAACATATACTTACCAGAGGGCCTAAAAATTGCATTACTGGACATCTATCAAAGAAGAGTGAAGACTTAGGTTCACTCAAAAACCTTCATACAAATGTTTGTAGCTGTTTGCTTATAACGGCAAAACTTGTTAAAGAGTCTGGTGTACTTAAACAGGTTAACGGTTAAATAAAGTGCTATATTTATAGCAATGAGTGATTTTTTTTTTTTTTTTTTTTTTTGAGGCAGATTCTCACTCTGTTGCCTAGGCTGGAGGGCAATGGTGTGATCTCAGCTCACTGCAAACTCTGCCTCCCGATTCAAGCAATTTTCCTTCCTCAGACTACCAAGTAGTTGGGATTACAGGAGTGCGCCACCACGCCCAGCTAATTTTTGTATTTTTCGTAGAGACAGGGTTTCACCATGTTGGTCAGGCTGGTCTTGAACTCCTGACCCGTGATCCACCCGCCTCAGCCTCCCAAAGTGGTGTGAGCCACCACAGGCAGCCACAATGTGTAGCATTTCACAGTAAAAAGCAATGGAATTTTTTTCTTTTTTTTTTTTTTTTTGGAGACTGGGTCTCACTCTGTCGCCAGGCTGGAGTGCATTGGCGCGATCTCGGCTCACCACAACTTACTATGCCCTGGTTCAAGCGATTCTTCTGCCTCAGGCTCCCGAGTAGCTGGGATTACAGGCACATGCCACCACACGCAGCTAATTTTTGTATTTTTTATTTTATTTATTTTTTTTTAGCAGAGGCTGGGTTTCACCATGTTGGCCAGAATAGTCTCGATCTCCTGACATTGTGATCCACCTGCCTAGGCCTCCCAAAGTGCTGGGATTACAGGCGTGAGCCACCGCACCCTGCTGCAATGCACTATTTATACATGCAACAACCTGGAAACATCTCCAAGGAACTATGCTAAGCAATTATTTTTAAAGTCCCTGACAAATGGATGGATGGATGGATGGATGGATGGATGGATGGATGGATGGATAGATAGACACATAGATAGATGAGATAGATAGACAGATAGATAATGCTCTTAAAATGATAAATTACAGAAATGCAGAACAAACTAGTAGTTGTCAGGAATTAAGTTGGAGTGTAGGAAGAGAAGTAAATGTGGCTATAAAAGGGCAAATGAAAAATTTTTGTAGTGATGAAAGTGTTCGCTATCTTGATTATTTCAATGTCATACCTTGATTGTGATATTGTACTTCAGTTTACTGAGATGTTACTGTTATAGGAACCTGGAAAAAGGGTACACAGGACCTCTCTGTGTTATGTATAACAACTGCATTACTAAATTATTTTAAAAATTTTCTGTACCTTAACCATTTTTAAAGAAAAAGCAAAGGAACAAATAAAATAAAGGAGTGAGAAATAAAAGAAGCAAGGAAATACAAACTTGCTACCCCTCTCTGAAAAGCTTGTTGATTTTGAGCATTTGGATTAAACCCACAAATCAATTTCCCGGAGGTACTTCCATAGCCACCTAATTTATTACATATCCTTCTATCTATATACCCTCATAAAACTCTGTTATCTTCCCTTGTATTTGAAAAAATTATTCTTACATATTTCTGTATATCTAGCTTCTCCATTAGACTGTAAATTGTTTGAATGCAGGCACATATTGATTTTATACTCTCTCTTCTGATGTCTAGAATGATATCTAGTTACAAAATAGATCAAAGTTGCCCTATAGAAATGTAATATAAGCCATATATATAATTTTAAATTTTCTAAAATCCATATGTTTTAAAAAGTATAACAAAAACAGATGAAAATCATTTTAATAATACATATTTTAATCCAATATATCCAGAATATGAATAGTTAAAATTATTAATATTCTAATTCATTCTATTTTTTGTATGTCTTTGAAATGCAGTGTGTATATTAGATTTATGACAGCTTGCAATCTAAATAATCCACACTTGTTGGGCTCAGTAGACATAAGTGGCTCGTAGGTACTGTACTGGAGTGTATGCAAATAGATGTTTTGTGAATACTTATTGGAGAGAGAGATGGAGAATGTGAGGGGAAGTGAATGGGAGGATGAAAGAAAGAAAAAGAATATTTATAAAAGTGAGGGAGATGGCAGAGATAAGAATTTAATACTTCTGGCTAAAAACACTGATCAAAAGGATCAATTATATGGCCCTTCAGAGACAAAATATCTCAGTATTAAGTCAATTGCTTATGTGAATTTGAATTCTAATTTATATAATAATTTAAATAATGTAAAATTTTCATTGTTGTATGAATAGCATTTACAAAGAACCTAGCATAAGGATTAATAATAGAATGTCCTCTAAATTGACATTGACTATTATATATGAAAATAATATATATATTTTTACAATAATTTATTGCATTTTCTTTGCCTTTCCTTCATCTATTAGAATAGGCAGATATTGCCTATATTTTGTTCTCTGACAAGAAGGAACATATGTGAAGGAAAAAGAATATGTTGTGGATTTACCCTGCACAAATGCACAGTCGTTTCTTCATGTGGCTCACATTTCCAGTATCCAATTTTAAAATTTACTGAGTTTTATTTGTTATTATGCATAGGTTTAATGCCTAAAAAACATTTTTCTCTCAGTGTCTTCTAAATAAAAAGTTCATGTTTTTCTGCTGTTCAATAAGCCAGATTGTGTTTATTTTGGATCAAACTTACGTGTTTGAATTATGGGTCAAAATGTACCAGCTTTACGATTTTTCTCAATGTACTTCATCTCATTATCTCAGCTTTCCTAATAAAAGATAGTAACAATACTATCTTTTTTGTTTGCTAGTAACAATACTAGCAAAAACATCACTAGCAAGATTCACAATCTAGCAGCAACATAAAAATGGATAGTTATTGGAAATTGCATAATTGTTTTTCAAGTATCAATCTTAATTGCACTACTCTATTATTCCATTGCTCTGTGTTCTTACAGTCTTTATGATGGATTCTTCCAATGCTATGTGATTGTGTGTGTGTGCGCGCACGCGCGTGCATGTTTGTGTGTGTGTGTAAGAGAGGAAGATAGTGAAGGAGAAGAGTGAGAAAAAAATAGATGTTTTCTGCTTTTGTTTAGATATATAAAGTATATTTCTTCCTTCTAAAGTTAAGTGTATTTTAAAATTTCTGCTAGCATTTCCCTCTCATCACCATGCACATTTTTGATGGACATATTACTTATGACTCTTTGTTCATATTTATAAAATGAACAAAGTGTTGTTCATGAATATAGACTTTCTGAGACTGTCATAAATTGGTATAGGAACTAATAGGATTCATTGATGAAAGGAATACAAAAGCTTAGATTAAGTAAAAATCCTAGTACTTTAGGGTTCAGTAATCAATTTACAAGAGAGTGAGGTTATGTGCCTTTTTTCAGTTAATAAAATGTGTTAATTAATGTCAGCAGTGATGCTCCCATTCAAAGGTAAAAGAAGGTGGGAGCTTAAGTCCTGTGGTGCTTTGAGTTAGAGTAAGTAGTCCAGGCACATCAAATCTTGCTTTTCACCAAACATGCCCAGTGCCCACATCCAGAAAAACTTAAAGGTTCAAGTTACTTATGATACAACTTCAGCAAGTTCCATTTTGCTGCGTTTGCCATTTGGCTGCATTTGCCACAGGCTTTATATTGGCCGTTTTAATTAACTTTGTATCTCTTTATTGCCCTTCCTGCCCGTTGCTCTTAGAAGTGTATGTTATCTTACATATTTAATGAGCAGGTTTTATAAGTTCATTAGAAAATCACAATATTCAGTAGCTTTTAATTTTCAGCATCAAAACATTTCCTTATCTTCTACAAAATAAATTTTTAAAAATTATTTGCAAACTGGCACATATATATGGTTTAATATTTTACAATGCGCCTGCATTCAGATACACTCACATACATGTAATAGGAAACATTCTAGCTCTCATAATGATACCGTTTAATATTCTGCTACATGTTTCAGAACTACTTTAGTATATTGGTTTTCTATTGCTTTAGTTGTAATTAATATTTCAGTTATCACAGACAAATAAAAAATAAAACAGATAAATAATGTATACTGTTTTATGCAATCTAATCGAAAACTAAGTAACTTCATAATAAGCTGTCCAAAGGCTAACAGAAATTTCAATAGAGAAATGGGGTTGAAGAATTGATTCCGAAAATAATACAGAAATGTAGAGGCACACTCCAGTAATCTCTACCATATATAAAATCTTGCAATTATTTTGCAAGCTATATACATACCCTTTACTATAAAATATATATTTATATATTACATAAAATTATACATAATTATATTCTATAATAAATATTATATAATAAAATATATGTACATTACATATTTATAATATGTAAATATTATGTAAAAATTATACATATTATACATATATTTTTGATATATAATATACATATTTACATATGTATATTATTTTTATACATATTTTATTTGTATACATATATATTTATTTGTATACATATATACATTTATACATATTATTTAAATATGTATATAATATACATATTTACATATGTATATTATATAAAATATATAAATATATGATAAAATTATATAATTATATATAAAATTTGTGTATATATAATTTTTTTTGAGATAGAGTCCTACTTTGTTGCCCAGGCTGGACTGCAGTGGCATGATCTCAACTCACTGCAACTTCCCCTCCCGGGCTCAAGCAATTCTCCCACCTCAGCCTCCCGAGTAGCTGGGACTACAGATGCACACCACCATGTTCAGCTAATCAATATTTTTAAAATAATGATATATTACTTCACGTCAGTGTTCTTAATTGGTTTTTATATATGGTTTTATATTTGTTAATATTTAAGTTACAATACACTAAAAAATATTGGTCAACACTGAAGATTGGCTACCTCCCTGTCGTTTTAACTTGCTTGTCCCGTAGTCCTGGTCAAGGTGAGACGTATCTAGCCAGCAGTGGATGCAAGTAAAAGGAGGTCATAAATATGGAATCATTATTCTAAGATGGAGAAGAAAATATTTATTGTTTAAAATATAATATCTGAAGAAATTTGCAGATACAAGGAGTTAATTGAGAGACTTTCAGAAATGATATTCCGGATTTTTCTTCAAAAGATAGATGACCGAGTGACAAAGGCAGAATATAGTCTAAACCAGGGGTGGGCAAACTTTTTTTAATCAAGGACCGGACAATAAATATTTCAGTGGGCCATATTTCAGTGGGCCACAATAAATATTGTGGGCCATAGATAGTATTTTGTCTTTTACTTCCGCTATTTTAAAAATGTAAAAAACAATTCTTAGCTTAAGGACCATACGAAAAGCTGGTGGGCCAAATTTGGCCTGAGGACTATATTACACCTACCCCGGATTCTAGACATACACAGTACAATAAATGTTTGGAACAGTTACTGAGGAGTAAGATTACAAATCTGTGATAATTTCACAAAAGGATTAATGGGGAGTAAGATTTTAACAGCATAAACTTGTGAGAATAGGTTAATTCCTGAAGCAAGAGGCCTCAAAATTTGTAATTCACCAGTTTAATTTTAATCATGTTTTACGCTATGGTAAACTCTATCTTAAATGCTTTCTTTTTTTAAAAAAATCACTTTTTAAAATTTGGGTAAAATTAGGACATATCAAAAAAGGTAACTTTCAAAAAAAAGATTCACATTTATTGTAAATATTGACCTATCTGTATATAACAATTACAATTGATATTTGACTTGTGTAATTAATATGTAAACAAAATTATGTATCATTTTTATTAACTATTAATATATAAATTATTTTATTGGAAAGATGCATTAGCAGTTATTTGGATGAGCAATAAATATGGAGAATAGATCAAAATTAATAAGAATTCACATTAAAATAAAGCCTAGAGGGAATTTGGCTATGTACACAATCAAATAGTGTTCTCTTTTTTATGTATTTAAATGGTAAAATAAAAAAAAAGCAATTTTTTAACTCACAAGATTAATGTACATATAAACAAATCTATGTACTATATAAGTAGTACATTCTACATCAGTAGAAATACAGTAAATAATCTGGATGGGTAAATTGGGTGTTAAAGAATATCTTTAATTCTACAACTGTCACTGATCTTAGGTAGGTTTAGTTCTTTTCCTGGCCAAAAAAAAAAAAAAAAAAAAGATTGGATCTTCTGTCTTAAATAAATTCAGGGACATGAGTTCTGTTGTATAAATTCATTTTAGCTTCTGTTGCAATCTTTCTGATTCTGCCGCTTCCTATTTTCATTTCTATCACTTTGTTTGAAGGTATGTTTATATCTATACCAGGCAAAGTCTGATGATGTATGTTAGAATACAGGTTATTCTATTGCCTTTCCTACCAAAATGTGCCATTTCCCCAATGAACAAATAAAAAACCAGACTCCACAACTCTTACTAAGTTTGTTTTATTTTTAAGTCATTAATCAGAAACCGAAAAGGAATTTACCAGAAATCTCCACAAATTTTCAGTTGTAAAAGAAATGAAAATATAAAAGTTAACTTGCTCTGCAGTCTAAGTAAACATTAATGAAAAGATCATATATCTAGTTCATGTCCTCACATATCTAGAATCACTCATTTCTGTAAAGATAGCTCTATGTTTTTTTTTTGCAGTCAATTTACAATGCAATGAATTTTTAGCATTTTCTTACCATAATAGAAATATAAGTCCTATCATGCTTTGAAAATCCCTTCCTCCTTTACGATGTAGCAGTCATTTGGCATAATTCTTAAACGATGCTACATAACAGGAGAGTTGTGAAACCTTGAGCATTCTTTCCTCAATTTTTCTGTCATTGGACAAGTGGCCTTGGCCTCAGATGTTTTTGAACCCTTCCATTTCCCTCGCCACGATCTCCTCACCTGTCACGGGATCTCTGCCTCTGACATGCAGTGACTCCTGAATATCAGGTGCTGAGGAAGCCTAGCATGTTTTCAGTTTTGACTGTCAGCAACCATGTTAAGGAAAGAAAACAGTGACAGTATAGCAAACAAACCAGCACTTTATTTGTTTTTTTTTTTTTCATATGCTTCCATATGGAAGTTGTTAAATTTGTGTCGGTCGGAATGTCATCACTCCTCACAGAAGAAGTCCATGTCGAAGTGGGTGTGAACAGATTAAATAACTACTGTGAAAACATCTGCATCACTCTTCACGATAGTGTGAACATTTAACTCACCCTGTGCTGCATATACTTAGGTGTATCCGATGGTTAATAACGTTTTCCTGTGGGAAGAAATCATTCATGGGAATGCTTCATTTCTGTATGATTTTCTGAGCAGTGGCTGCATATCTTTTGCAGATCCTCATTTAGTATCAGTTCACAGATTTTGAGCCCGTGATGTAAGGCAGGATGTTACTCTTATTGTCCGGTCTGGACATCAATTTCTTTTCTAAGCTTCCCTAATGAGAACTGAAAGAGACTGAGTTCAATAGATGGATGAGTAAAGAAACAGACTTGTCTACTCCTTAAGTTGAGCCCAGAGTGGCACTTTCACCCAAGTAACCCCTTCCTCCACACCACATGAGCACACACTACATCCATAATGTTGATGAGAATGAAAAAATTAAATGAGGAATGTTGTTCATTAAGGAATTTATTTCACATTATGAAGATGAGATCTCTTTGAGATGTAAGTTTATAACTCTCTTCGTTTCAAGCTTTTAATTTTACTGAAATTCTGAAACTGATTTCAAGAAGGTGATTTCTTATACCGATTGTTATTCTTAGAATTCAGAATTACATATATGTATATATAAAATAAATTAACATTTGATTATAATATACATTAATCTATGTATCTTTTATGGAAGCTATTGAAATCTTGCCTGGCAAACTGCTAATCTACTATGTTAATGTCATCAATGATATTACCTTGCCTACAAAATTAAATATGCATCCCTCTAGACTCCTCAGCAGAAACTACGATCCCAGCAGTCTTTCCAGTCCCTTTTTCAATACTCTCCTATGTATTTAGACGTCTCTACAGAACTAGACTATTTGCTATTCTCTAAATATGCTTGGAGGTACAATCTCTCTTGAAACTTTGCTTATGCTCTTTACTCTGCCCATGCTGTGTTTATTTTGTCGTTGTTGTTGTTGTTGTTGTTTTGAGACAGAGTCTCGCTCTGTCACCCAGGCTGGAGTGCAGTGGTGCAATCTCAGCTCACTGCCACCTCTGCCTCCCGGGTTCAAGAGATTTTCCTGCCTCAGCCTCCCGAATAGCTGGTACTACAGGCGCCCGCCACCACGTCCGGCTCAGTTTTTGTATTTTTAGTAGAGATGGGGTTTCACCGTGTTAGCCAGGATGGCCTCAATCTCCTGACCTCATGATCTGCCCACCTCAGCCTCCCAAAGTTCTGGGATTACATGTGCGAGCCACCATGCCCAACCTGCCCATGCTGTGTTTTACATGCTTCTGTTTTACTCCAGCTCTGAACTTATTTAAAAGTTATTTTTCTGAAAATCTTTCAGAAACATGACTTCTGGAATTGTGGCTTGAGGACCCTTCCCAGTAAAACAACAATAACCAGTGAAAATGAGAAAAATCAATCAACCAGCCCCTGTTTCTACATCGAGCTCCAGAGTAGTGGCTTAGAGATTTTTCTTAGGGAGAAGGAGGCCGTAACAGACAGAGATCTAAAGTTGTCCCCCAGCCACCTGATTTTATTTGAAATGAAGCAAAGAAAATTCCAGCCTAAGTTTGCTCTCAAAGCAATAGAGATTTTGGTGACAAGCAGTTAAGAGGAGGCTAGCAGGTAGCTTCATGTAACAACAAGGTGCAATGTGGGCCTGTTAATGTAACAGGGAGAACCTGGGGGAAAGACTAGTAAGAATAGGTTTCTTGAGTTCAGAACAAATCTGAAAGATTGGCCTTAACAACTACCAATTTTGTACGTATTAGGTAATCGACAACTCGTGTTCACAAGTCCTAGGGAAAATAAGTAAATATTTTAACAAATTTAAGCCTCATCTTCTAAAATTATACTTATGTAATTGTCATTTCCTTAAAATCATAGACTTTAAACTTAGTCCTCTAATTATATTTTCTTCTGACAATATAACACAGATTGTTTGTGTGTACAAAAACCAACAAAAAGACAGTCATTTGCAGCTATATGTTAGATATGATAACAATATACAAAAGGATTTTAAATGTTTTAGGAAATAATTTTAAAAATGAAAACCCGTAAATCCAAAATAAAGAATTTTCTTGGGTTTAAACATGAAGTATAATAAAATCATTTAGGTTGAAAGTACATGTATAAATTATACTTGCTATGCGTAATTAAATTATATTTGTTTTTAATTTATATAAATGAAAGAGTTTCCTCTATTTTTAGTTGAAGGTTTATAAATTGAAATGATAATGCATAGGTGTTTTAGTTTTCTAGTTTGTTTATATTTTTAACACTGGAGGAAATATTTTCGAGGAGAAGTGATTATAATCACATAGATTTGCTACATTTAGCAAGGCATTATATGATGGTTTTTATCTGACAAAAACATCTGAAGATGCAAATCAGAAAAACTTTTAGTTTATTACTTTAGATGATTATATACAAATCTTAATTCATACACCTTCAGCTTATTATGGGCAGAAAAAATAAATCAAACTACACAGCTAATGAGATGTGCATTTGGAAAAGAGGTAGTAAAGTAAGGATATTTTCAGGGCTCTTTAAAAGCATTTAGAGATGCATTAAAGATGCCCATTCTTTGAATTTAACATTTCTGTTACTTAAAAAATATATGTATAAATCAAATGTGAAAAAACACAGATAACATATGGAAATACAACACAATAGACATACATTTAAATTTGAAAATAAGTTGTAAGATGCATTAACTATTTCCCCTGAAATATTCTATTCAAAATCAATATGATTACATTTATAACTTTCTTGGTTCCTCTTCTGTTATTGATCTCAAACTCTACTTTACTTAGACGTGAATATTCTTGTATCTCATAGGTAAAGCCTGGGATATTCACCATAAGATAAGATGGTAACACCTGGGAAACAAAAGCTAATAACATCTTTTCTACCATAGTGCAAAGCAGTGGTATGAGAAGACAAAAATATCCCATCAATTTGGTAGGAGTGGGATTAAGTAATAACCAGTCATCTGTTGAGTAAAGTCATAGTGAAAACAGACTCTTACTAGTGGGATTATGCACACTATCCTTGTAGGCTGTTAAATACACCAGTCCACCTCCGTACTAGCTCCCTGCTATTAAGGAGCATTGCTGCTTCTCAAGCATATTTCTTACTATGTTACTTAGATGTGAATATTATTGTATCTCATGGGTGAAGACTGAGATATTCATCAGAGCATAAGATGGTAGCACCTTGGAGACAAAGTTAACGACATCTTTCTGTTGAAGTGCAAAGCATTGATAATAGAAGACAAAAATATCCTATCCATTGTGGTAAGAGTGGGAATAAGCGATAATGAGCCTTCTATTGTGTAGTCAGAGTGATGACACTTATTTGTGGGACTATGCACAGTCTCTCCTTGTAGGCTGTTACATACAACACCCCACCTCCAGATCTATACTTACTCCCTGTTCTTAGGGAGCATTGCTACTTCTCAATGCATATAGGAGTCTCAGGAGCAAACTGTGAGACAAAGTAGGAAACATAAGAATCCACGTTTGCTCATTGCTGCTTCCCAGCATAATTTCATAAAGCCCCTTACTCTGAAGATGTGTAACTCTCTGGAAAGTTACTTTGAAGTCAAAACAGGATAGAGAACTACACCCCCCCATGTCTCTTGCCTGAATTACTATATTCCTTAAAAGACAATGACACTGGCCCTTGCCTTTCCCTGCACATAAGATAACATCTGACAGCCAGCGTTAGCGATTATGCTTCTGCAATCTATATAACCAAATGTGCTTTAGTGATCTATAAGCAGATGTACTGTTATGCCCAAACTTTGACGTGATTTTGCACGTACTGAATCTTCACCACCTATATGTAAACTGTGAGCTCAAACACTTTGTTGGAGCAGTCGTACAGGACTGTTCCTCGGGTCTAGGCCTTGGTCTTTCATCCTCTGTAAGACTTCTGAATAAAAACTGGCTTTAATTTTTTAAAAGCTTGACTTTTTTTGTTAGTCGACAAGACAGTGGATAGAACTTGGCCAAACAGCAAAGAGCACTGTGTAAGAAATAATTATGCTATTTTGTGAAGGGCACTCCTGTAACTGTGGGTCACAATTGATGGGGTAGACAGTGGGAGAAAGGAATGTAGTGACTAGGATCATGTGAAAACCACTCAGACACTCATCCAGGTTTTCCTAGTCAATGACCTATCTGGCATGTGCTTTCTCCATCTCCCATAGAGAAAACTTCACCTAACCCCAATTATTCACCAGAATGAGAAGTTCCTCCTCCATCAGGGAAAACTGCACCTTCTCATAGTTCTCAAGGTCCCAGACCAGTACCCTAAAATGCTGGCACATCAATTCTAGACAGCCTGGTGCCAAGCAGCCTGTACATTCACCACAGACAAGGCTTATTCTATTAAAAGAGGGAGAAAAAAAAGGGGTCACCAGGCACGGTGGCTCACGCCTGTAATCTCAGCACTTTGGGAGGCTGAAGCAGGTGGATCACAAGGTCAGGTGTTGGAGACCAGGCTGGCCGATATGGTGAAACCCTGTCTCTAATAAAAATACAAAAATTAGCCGGGTGTGAGATGGCGGGCACCTATAGTCCCAGCTACTCGGGAGGCTGAGGCAGGAGAATCACATGAACCCAGGAGGTGGAGGTTGCAGAGAGGCAGGATCTCACCACTGCACTCCAGCCTGGGCAACAGAGTGAGACTCTGTCTCAAAAAGAAAAAAAAAAAAAAAAAACGCGCACACACACACAAAAAACACAAAAAACCAAAGGTGTCTCCCTATAGGAATTCAGACCTAGACTGCCCCAACAAAAGCCTGAACCCAACATCCTTGTGTTCGTTTTCTATGCTACAGATTCACAAATTTAATAGCTTAATGCAACATCCATTTATTATCTCACAGTTTCCATTGGTCAAAAGACTGGGCACAGCTTAGCTGTGTTCTCTGCTTAAGGTCTCACAAGGGTGATACCAAGGTGTCCAAATAGGCTGCCCTCTCATTTGGGGGCTTGACTAGGGTTAAGAGGCACTTCCAACCTCCCTGGAGACGTTGGCAGAATTCTTTTTCTTTGTGCTTTCACTCCTAGAGACTACCCCTCTCCTTAATAGTTCACAACATGCTGTTTGCTTCTTGAAGGCCACTATTAAAGTGCCTTTCCCCACCCTCTTTAAAGGGCTTTCTCCTGATTAAGTCAGGTAAACCCCAAGTTTACTTTTTATTAATCAAAAATCAACTGATTTGGGATCTCAATTACATGTGAAAATCCTGTCACCTTTATCCTATAACATAACCTAATCACTGGAGCAAAATTGTATTACATTCATCATCCCCTGGCCCAGCGGCAAGTGGAGAGGATTATACGGGTTGTGAGCAGGAGGGAATCTTAGGAGCCATCTTAAAAGTTGGCCTACCTCAATGCTTTCCTGTATATGATGGGTGGATTAGGAACTCTTATGCCTTCTATTTTTTATTGGTCTTTTGGTTTGTGTTTCTCTTCTGCAATAAATCCTATTTATTAATCTATTCATTTTAGAATTCAAATAGATGTATGAATGCCAAATGGAGAGCCATATGGGGCTCATATGGTATGGCAAGTTGACAGATTGCCCAACTGGGAGGTTCACAGTATCTCCCCATTTTGTTTCAAGAGGGGAGTGTCTATGTATATATGTGTGTGCTAAGAAGAATAATGTTTACAATAGTTTTCTCAACCCCATCTGCCTTCTTTGCGTGTTGGAGAGGCATTAAAGTATAACAATGCAGATTGTAAATACCAGAATTGACTGCTTGTGTTTGACTGGTCATTCACTATTTACTAATAGGGCAACTTACTTACATCCTTTGTGCCTTTTTTTATCATTATAGAGAAGATCTAGATGCAATACATCCCCTTTACACATGGTTTCACTTCCAGGGCTTCAGTTATCCATGGTCAACTGTAGTGTGAAAATAGGTGAGTGCAGTACCATGAAATGCTTTGAGAGAGAGAGATACCACATTTGCATAACTTTTATTACAGTACCACATTATTTTACTTTATTATGTTATGCTTTTAATATCCTATTGTGCCTAACTGATTAATTAAACTATATTTATCCCCTGGGCCAGGGGATGATGAATGTAATACAATTTTGCTCCAGTGTATATATAAGACAAATTATAGTAAACATAGGGTTTGGTAGTATCTGCAGATTCAGGAATTCACTGGGGGACTTGGAACATATGCCCCATGGATAAGGGGGAACAACTGTCGTACATTCCTCAGATGGTGCCACTGATGCAAAATTGATTGCTGTTTGTGTAAATGGAAGTTTTCATTTATTTCAGTGTTTCCATGGGTAGTCAATTAGAGAAATTGGGGAGAAAGGTTTCTAGGCTTGCTATCAGGGTAATTTGAAACAGGAAATCCCAGTTCTAAATATTTGAAAAAATAGCCTGGGCAACATAGCGAGACCTCATTACTACCAAAAAAAAAAAAAAAAAAAAAAGCATTTAAAAAGTTAGCCAGGTATAGTGGTGTGCACCTGTAGTCCTGGCTACTCAGGAGGTTGAGGTGAAAGGGTCACTTGAGCCCAGGAATTCAATGCTACAGTGAGATATGATTACACTACTGCACTCCAGCATGGGTGACAAAGTGAGACACTGTCTCTAAAAAAAAAAAAGAAACTAAAACATTTTAGCTAAACTAAAATGATCACAAATACAATTCTATATTCTGTGCTTTATTTCAGTACATCAGAATTTTTGTTAACCCAGACTTTAATCTTTACTTAAAGTATCATTTTTCCATATTCCTTTATATCTCTTAAGTAAATTGTACGTTTTAAATAAATTATTGTATTATATAAAGCATGATTATATAATAGGCTTGTCTAGGAGAAACAAACTGCAACTGTACCAGCATCTTTAATCAGAGAGCCTTGTGTATCAGTCTTTAATACAATTTTATGATATGGAAGAGAACTTTGTTTGAGATTAGCAGTGATATATCTTCATTAAAGATTATTGAGGAAAGTATGGTAATTTCAAATTTGTACACATATTGTTACACTAGAAAAAAAGCAGTAAGGCATATTAACTTGTTTTGTTAATGAGTGTATGAAACTGTTGTAATTAAAAGAAGAAAATAATGTTTGGCTTCTTTTCAATAGTTAAGAGAGTTAAATACAAAAGTAATTTTTATAACTCTTGTCTTTTAATTAGTGTCTGTGATATTACTAGAAAATTGTAATAACGTTTTTAAGATTTTGGATCTTCCATTAAAAGTGACTTTAATTAACTACTTTTCATAAAACCTACTCAATGTGTCTTTCAAAATGTTATCACAGTTTATTTTAAATCTTTTGAATTTTATTTGGCAGGCCTTCCAGACTAATCAGATAACAGTCATTTCTCGTTCCAAAAAATGTTTACATATTTTACAGTCATAGTTTTCAAGCCATATTTTTTTACTCACATGTTCTTGGTATCAGTCAATTTCCCTTAGGCTAAAATTATCCTGAACCTGCTTGTATCCTTACCAATGCCACTGCTGCTATTACTATTACCAACAACAAAAAATAATGATTACAGTATTTTTTTGTTCTTACTCTGGCCATAATATATGCTCATGTACAGTTGACCTGCACTTTCATATTTCATATTTGTAGTATGTTGTGTGCTAGATGTTTTTATTATTCATATTTTACCTGTGGGAAATTGTAACTGCCCACATTCACACAGAAAATAAGTGATTTAAAATCAGTAGTTGAATTTATATTTTCATGGAAATCACCTGTCTAGTGCTTGTATATTTTCCTTTTTCAGTATTTGTATGATTCCATTTTTAAAATTTAGATTCCTGATCCATTTCAGATTTAGCTTTGTATATAGCATGACATATGAATCCAATTTTATCTTTTCTCCCAAAGATCTTTCCAGTTATCTCAACATCATATATTCTAGATCACTATTTCTCCACTAATTTGAGATGCTACTTTTATCCCACATGAAATTTCCATATGAAATGTTCCCACATCTACATTTTCTACTGTACTCCTATGTCTGTTCATACTCTCATAATTTACTTTTTAAAATACAGAAGTTTCATAATAACATTCAACATCTGGCAGGCCTACATATCATGCAGGTTTCAGAGAAGCAGAACTTTTACGTGTAATATTACAAAGATTTGACTGCATATAACCATGAAAGATGGTTTAAAGGACTCTAAAAGTCTTTTTTTTTTTCATGCTAAACCTTGAAGTGTGACGGTCAGGCAATGAAGAAGAAAAAGTAGATAGTGGATATAAAATTGGAGAGAGCAAAGGCAGATTGTGATTAATTACATAAAGATTGGAAAACATGTTAGTCTCTCACCACTTCCAATTTTGATCATGTTTCTGTCCTCTGGGGAAAGTTGGCAAACTTCATTATGAGACTAAATATGCATTTGGTTCAATCGTTGGGGAGGGTGGAACAGCTCCTGGCAAGCTGCTCCACCACGCCAACAAGGTGAGTCAGCTGATGAGTATCAACATGTGTGAGCTGAAACAGCACCTGGTGCTTCTTCACCAACCTTCTGATTATAAAATTAAGGTGGGTGCTGCTTCATGCTCACATTCCAGATTTCACACAAAACATATCTTATGGCTAACTTCAGCCAGAAAGTATGGAAAAGGGAATTTTAGAAAACATAATTTATAGCTAAAATAAATATAATTTAGAGCTAAATTACACATGTACTCTTGAAAACCCAGTATATGTATTATATATGTAATATGTTGCTAAAATGCTAGGGGTTCCGTCTAGGCCCTGTTGCTCACAACACAGAAAGCCAATCACTGAGATAACAAGTATTACTAGAGAAGAAGATGTTTTATTCTCAGCCAAGGAGAAGGGGAGATCAATCTCATATCTGTCTCCTCAACTGACTAAATTAGGGGGTTTATATAGTAGGGAAGGGATGTAGCTACATGCAGGAAAACAAGAATTAGAGAGGGTTAAGGAAACAATCAGGATGAGTGAGTGATCTGGATTGACTGGATGAGGTGATCTGGTGAGTTTCAGTCCCTTGCTTCAGGGTTGGTGTGATGGTTAACATTGAGTGTCAACATGATTAGACTGAAGGATGCAAAATATTGTTCCTGGATGCATCTGTGAGGGTGTTGCCAAAGGAGATCAACATTTGAGTCAGTGGACTGGGAGAGGCAGACCCACCCTCAATCTGGGTGGGCCCCATCTAATCAGTTGCCAGTGCAGCAAAAATAAAGCGGGCAGAAGAAAGTGGAATGAGCAGACTTGCTGAGTCTTCCAGCCTCCATCTTTCTCCTGCGCTGGATGCTTCCTGCCCTCGAACATCAAACTCCGAGTTCTTCAGCTTTTGGACTCCTGGACTTACACCAGTGGTTTGCCAGGGGCTCTCAGGCCTTCAGCCACAGACTAAAGGCTACACTGTTGGCTTCCCTTCTTTTGAGGTTTTGGGACTCGGACTGGCTTCCTTGCTCCTCAGGTTGCAGACGGCCTATCATAGGACTTCACCCTGTGATTGTGTGAGTCCATTTTCCTAATGAACTCCCCTTCATATATACATGCATCCTAATAGTTCTGTCCCTTTAGAGAACCCTGACTAATACAGTTGGTTTCCTGAGGAAGGAACTCACGAAACAAACGTAAGTTCCAAGTTTTAAAACTAGGAAGGTCAATTTCTATGCTTATTCACAAATAAGTAAATAGTATAAATAGTATTTTTATGGGGAAATTCAGCTGGTTTTATATATCTATATATACACACACACACGTATATATGTGTGTATACATGTAGGTATATATATATGTGTGTGTACATGCATATGTATATGTAAATTTATATGTATATGTGTGTGCATATATATATGCCACGTGTGTATATATACTATGTGTATGTGTATGTGAGTATGTGTGTGTGTGTGTGTATTTACACACACCATGTTGTATATGCATATATATACACATTACACACACACGTGTGTATGTTTGTGTGTGTGTGCACATACACATCATGGTATATATCTATACTCATGGTTTTCAAGAATACATATCTGTATGTATGTATAATAAAGCCACCTCAATATGGTTTTCATAAACTCTGCACCCAAACAGGCCTGTAAAAACCCTATGTAACTTCTAAATAGAGACAAAGACAATTATGGAGTCATGTTTCCACCAGACACGATGCAGCTATCGCACATGCAACTGAAAACAAGCTTACTTTTTCCCTAAAAAAAGATAATAAATCCATTTTATGCCTCTGGTTGATGTTCATTATTCTTTAACCTGAGTCATATTACCCTCTTTATAACTTAAATACTGAGATACAAAGTTAACTACTATTAATGTGCTTTCTTGTAGTTGGCACTGGAAAAATAAAGGGGGAATTCTTAAATATACATTCATACACAAGCAAAAAATATTTATATTACAATAAGAAAATAACTACTCATAACTATTGCAGTTTTTGTTTCTGTAGCTTTTCTCATAGCGGTAGATGATATTTGTAACTAACTCCTCTCACTGCCTATTCTCTATATCTTTGCCCTTAGAAATCAGCTCAACTAGCTGTGGTTCATTGCCTGCTGAGACGATCCAAGCATTATTCCCTAGAGCAAGAGCTACATTCTCTCTAATTGAGTAATTGTAGATTTTCGTTGACTTCAGTCACAGAAAATGGGAGTACTAAGTAGCACACTAAGAGATTTTCTACATTCCAGACATACTCCTCCTTACCCTACTGCTTGGCAGTAATCCAAATTCTGCCTTAAATTTCAAAATCAGTCACCAGTAGAGTAACCATTTCCTTTGTCCATTGATTGACTAACCTGGATAACCCAACGTGGCAGCCTCAACATCTGTATAAATGGAACCACTGCTGTGGACCACGGTGGAAATAAGAATTCCACAACACCAGAGCCCAAAGTTTCAGGGATAGGAAACAAAAATTTTTCAAAAGCTTACTAAGGGTAATAGGGAGAAGAGGAACTCCAATTTTGACCCCTTGACTTCCAGACCCATGAATTGTGGCTCTGAGAAGATGACAATCTTATATTGGTCACTAATTTAAAGCATATAGTCCATCTTGCAAAAAAAAATGACCCACGTTCCAAAGCTGTCACTTTTACTAAGTCTTCAAAGTGCCATTTCATAATTCTATTGGGTAAGCTGCTTCAGGATGTTGGAGAACATGGCCAGACATGTGAATTCCATGAGTATGAGCCTGTTTTCATAATTCATTTGCTATGAAATGATCTCCATGGTCAGAAGCAGTGCTGTATATAATACCATGATAGGGAATAAGTTAGTCTGTATGTCCCAAAATAGTCATTTTGACAGATGCATTGCAGGAAAATCCATATCCAAAGCATGTATTTCACATGTCCCAAAAACATGTCTAGAGTAGTTGCTACTTCCTATTCATCAGATCCAATCAGCATCATTAGAAAATTGTGTTGACCCATGAGATAGAAAGGCAACCCATGCCCTATGGACTTGACTTTAACATAGGGCTAGATACTTGATATAGCTGCAGACATGTAACAGTGAAGGTACATTGTTGGCCCTTTCAGATGGAAATTATTTGCTTTTGATAGTCACTACTAAAAGATAAAATTTTTAAAAATGTATTTTCCCAATCATTAGTTGCATACCAGGTTCATTGGATATGGTGATGCATCCTATCACCTCTGAAAATTCAGATACAATCATTCACAACCTAACAGTTAAAATAATCCATAAGTTTCCAAGTCTGTTTCAGCACAGGTCAAATAGGTGACTTAAACATGTATATAATAGGAGTCATCATGCCTACATCTTCCAAGTTCTTGAGGCTGGCACTGATCCCTTGAATCCTTCTAAGAATGTCTCTAAGAATAATTGTTTTCTGTTTACTGTTTGAAAAGTATCAGCAGTTCTAGTTGTTTCCATGTGGCTTTTGCTATTATAAAAAGCCATGAAACCCTCACTCCATGGCTCAAAAAAGCAATATAGATGCATTATGTATCTGTATACCTCTATCTGATTATATTTATCTAAACATATCCAATTATGCACTCTAAAACTGTGAAAAACCATGGGATAATTGGGGAACTGCTGGGCCAATAGTAACATACACCTGGGCAAAAACTCCAGTGATTATTTCTGATCCTTCTCTGACCTGTGGACCACAAAGACATTTTGAGCCTTCAAGAATTAGTTCAGGTTATTGTAGCCCTGTAATATAGTTTGAAGCTGGATAACATGATGCCTCCAGCTTTGTTCTTTTTACTTGGCTGGCTTGCCTATTCAGGCTTTTGTTTGTTTGTGTCCATATACATTTTAAAACAGTTTTCTCTAGTTCTGTGAAGAATTTCAATGGTAGTTTAATGGGGATAGCATTGAATCTATAAATTGCTTTGGGGAGTATGGCCGTTTTAATAATATTGATTCTTCCTATCCATGAGCATGGAATGTTTTTCCATTTATTTGTGTCATCTCTGATTTCTTTGAGCAGTGTTTTGTAGTTCCCCTTGTAGAGATCTATCACCTCCCTTGTTAGCTGTATTCCTAGGTATTTTATTCTTTTTGTACAATAATCAAAAGAGCATAGTATTGGTACAAGAACAGACACATAGACCAGTAGAACAGAGTAGAGAACCCAGAAATAAGACCGCACACATACAACTATCTGATCATGGACTAACCTGACAAAAACAAAAGCAAAAGGGAAAGGACTCCCTATTCAATAAATGGTGCTGGGATAACTGACTAGCCATATGCAGAAAATTGAAACCGGACCCCTTCCTTACACCACATAAAAAATTATCTCAAGATGGATTAAATACTTAAATGTAAAACCCAGAACTAGAAAAATCCTGGAAGACAACCTAGGTGATACCATTCAGGACATAGGCATGGGGAAAGATTTCATAACGAAGATGCCAAAAGCAATTAGCAATAAGAGTGAAAATTGACAAATGGGATCTAATTAAACTAAAGAGCTCCTTTACTATAAAAAAGAAACTATCAACAGAGTAAACAGACAGCCTACATAATGGCAGAAAATAATTGAAAACTATGTATCTGACAAAGGTCTAATATCCAATATCTATAAGAAACCTAAGCAAATATGCAAGAAAAATTAACCCCATTAAAAGTGGCATAGGACATGAACAGACCCTTCACAGAAGTCATACACGCAGCGAACAATCATATGAAAAAGTTCAACATCACTGATCATTAAAGAAATGCAAATGAAAACCACAATGAGATACCATCTCACACCAGTCAGAATGGCTATTAAGAAGTCAAAAATAGCAGATGCTAGTGAGATAAAAGAATACTTGTACACTGTCAGTGGGGCTGTAAATTAGTTCTACCATTGTGGAAGACTGTGTGGCGATTGCTCAAAGACCTAAAGACAGAAATACTATTCAACTCAGCAACCCCATTACTGGGTATGTACTCAAAGGAATATAAATTTTCTATCATAAAGACCCATGCATATGTATGTCCATTGCAACAATATTCACAATAGCAAAGACATGGAATTTACCTAAATGCCCATCAATGATAGTCTGGATTAAAAAAAATGTGGTACATATATGCCATGGAATACTATCCAGGCATAGAAAAGAATGAGATCATATCTTTTGCAGGAACATGGATGGAGCTGGAGGCCATTATCCTTAGCAAACTAATGCAGGAAGAGAAAACCAAATACCACATGTTTTCACTTATAAGTGGGAGCTAAATGATGAGAACACATGGACACATAGAGGAGAACAACACACACTCAGACCTATTGAAGTTGTGAGATGGGAGGAGGGATAGGACCAGGAAAAATAACTAATGGATACCAGGCTTAATACCTGGGTGATGAAATAATCTGTATAACAAATCCTCATGACACACGTTTACCTATGTAACAAAGCTGCATATCCTGCACATGTACCCCAAACTTAAAAGTTAAAAAAAAAAAAGAATTCAGAGTCAGTGCCCAGTTACCCCTCCAAAGTCTGACTATTTCCCCCTCTCTAATTGATTGTCATCCTTAACGAATGGCCACAGGTCCCTTGCAAATGACTGGGAAGAATATTAGCAATATAAATATTTTACACTCTAGCAGGCTCCTTCTGCAAGAAGACTAAGCCTCCTCTTCATTCACAGAGCATAGAATTTGTGAACTGGCTGAAGTCAAGAAATTGAGTGAGGAACCCTGACTCTCTAATAAGGTAATTTGATACATATTTGTGTTCACTGGACCTAGAAATTTATCACTTATAAATGTCAAGTAAGACTATCAGAAATAGTCATCTATTTCTGATCTAGGGATATATTAACTAGACAACACCAAAGATCTCTATGGGTCCGATTACTCCGATTATGGCTTTGAAAGTGAAGTCCATTACAATGATGCTCACTTTTTGTTATCACTTGGCTCTGACATGCTGAATTGAGAGCCCAGTCCCATGGTAGCAATTCCCTCTGACATTCCTGGCCTACAGGCAGAGCAACCGTAAAACTCTTCAAGGATGTTTGGGCTTCCGTCTTGAATGCTTGTCTCACAACAGTGGCGAAGTGAGTCTCATCTTGACCTTTCATCTTGACATAGTGAAGAGGTCTTACATGATAGATTTAATCTAATAATATAGTCTCCCTAGGCTGCTGGATACATTTCTTTACAGTATTCTAGAAAGGTTTCAGCATAACAATTTCATTTAAATTAGACTATGTTTGGATTTAAATTTCAGTTAGCAAATGTTAAAACCATTTCCAGTCCAGACTGTTAGTTTCCAGTAAAAAACTAACACTTTGATTTTAGCATTTTGGCTTAGTGATTCCATATAAATAAATTTGGCCTGATGCAAATTCATATTCTTTCCACCTGATCCCTCACATGTTCTCCAGGTTTTTATAGATATAATTTATGAAAGTTCTATAGTATTTTGGTGTACATTACACATCCTCATGGGTCTCAGGTCTCAAAGCAATAAGTGGAAATAGGTCCTGAGAAGAATCAATAGTTCCTTAAAACTACTGTAGTTGAGAACATTATTACTGCTTCAAGTGAAAGGGGGAAAAGCCTTTATCAAATAAGGGTGGAAAAATTTCTTCTACTGGCAAGAAAAGATCTGCAGGAGTTAGAGGTTCAAGATCTTCACCTGTATTAGAAACTTCTCATATGATCCTATCTTAAATTTTAGTGTGTCATTTCTTTCTAATCAATGCTGCTAATTTAATATTATTATAAATCCTAATAATATGGGAATTCAATTTGTACTGTAATTCTGCCATCTACGGATTTGATTTTCTGTTTGACTTACAGAAATCTTGGCACTGCACCTATAAGAGATAAGGTTTTATTTTAGGCAGTCGTAGACTATTTCAGATCCCCTATGTGGACTTTAAGCTGGAATTTCAAGCCACGAACTCAGATTTTCATTGTCCCCAGCTCTCCAGTGCACTGAGAGGCAGTTAACCCACACAATTTTACTTTATTTCATTGAAATGCTCTATAGAAAAGAATCTTGGTAGCCCTCCATAGACATTTTATTACAGCTAGATACATGTGATTATTTGCATAATTTTTTTTACTGTATGCTCCTTTAGGAACAGGGTCAATAATATCTTTAAATCTAGTAAAATCAGCGAAACAACTCCAGGTAACTAAGAACCAATTCACTGAAATTATCCATTAAGGTTTTGTTTTCTGGAACCACTTTTAGTACCAAAATCTCTTACAGTTAGTCTTCTATCCAAAAAGTATAACCATTGGAAGGGAGGTGCTGAAAAATATTTTAAGGATATTGTTTGTGTCTGATGCTGGAGTTTGAAATCTGTTAGAGCAGTAGTCTGTCAGGAAAGAAAACTGTACACTTTCTTTTTCTAAAAAAAATAAACAACATCGAGATGGGGGCAAAGCTACATCTCTCTTTATCTTCTTAAATATCTACATGCAATTATTTTATATTCATTCTGTAAATTATTCAATTATTTTAATTTTACCTAGAATAAATCCATATCAAGATGGATTTAATTACTTGTTTATTTTTTAAAAAACTTAGTTTTTATTTTCTTTTTATTTTGTTACTTACCTTTTTTCTGCTCAATAAACTTATCTTGAGTTGAATTCATCTACCATCTTTGACTCTTTCCTCACCTTTCCAGGTTGGTTAGTTTTGAATATGCCTCCATGCAGATCCCATGGTTTGTAATACTGAAAACAATTACTGTATTTATAACTCACAGCTCCTGTCCTATGGAAACATGGAGAACAGCACAGATCTAATCATCAACCCAGCAGATTTTCTTTGCTCCCTGCAGCATTCTTTGTTGTTGTGTTGTTGTTGTTGTTGTTGTTGTTGTTGTTGTTTATGTGTTTTGGGGAAGGAGTGAAAGTTTCATTTTTATATAAGCATATTTCTAGTTGGGCAGAACATAGGCTGGAGAACTAAACCATCATCTCCAGCCTCTGAGAAATAGCCTCCTGACTTCCCTTCTCTTTATGCCTTTATTTGGGTTAAAGGTTATATGAGAGATTATAGTGTTTCTATATGTGTTAGGTTTAAAAAAAAGTCATCACATACTTCAAAAATTTTGTAAAATTTGACTTCAAATTTAGCAAGCCATAGGTGAATTTTAAGGAAATTTATATATGCAGAAATGACCTTGAATTGTTTATAAGGAATATTCAGAGCTGAAAATAATATAGAGTACCATTTCAAGAGGTTCGATTATTGAGAAAAGCAAAAAGCTAGGGTGTTAGTGTAAGAAGGAAGAATGGCTAAAATATGGAGTTTATAAGACAGAAGGTATCTAATAATACCATGCAGAAGAAAAGGATGCAGTACATCTAGTAATAACCATTTATTAAACATTTAACAATATCAGAATTTTATGTTAAATTACTATCTTAGTCTGTTTTCATACTGCTATAAAGAACTGCCTGAGACTGGGTAATTTATAAAGGAAAGATGTTTAATTGAATTACAGTTCAGCATAGCTGGGGAGGCCTCAGGAAACTTACAATCAAGGAAGAAAGCAAAGAGGGAGCAAAGCACCTTCTTCACAAGGCAGCAGGAAAGAGAAATGCGGAGCAAAGGGGGAAGAGCTGCTTATGAAACTATCAGATCTTGTGAGAACTCACTATCATGAGGACAGCATGGGGGAAACCACCCCCGTGATTCTATTACCTTCACCTGGTCTCTCCCTTGATAGGCGGGGATTATGGGGACTACAATTCAAGATGAGATTTGGGTGGGGAGACAAGACCTAACCATATCAATTACTAATGTAAATTATTAATTCAATCTTCATTTTATAGATTAAATGTGATGATTATTATTATATAATATAATCACATTGAATTTATAAAATGAAATCTTCTAAATTTGACAAAATAAAGGATCAAGTTACATAACTTTTCAAAGACCACACAGCTAATAAATTAATATATTGGCCCTTTGGCAACAGAACACCTGGAATCTTAACTGCATCCAATAGAGAGAGAGAGAGATGAAAGAATATCATATGCTTGATAGAGACACTCATTTTCATCACTCACATACATAGTGCATGCATAACAAGCAGGCAGGTCAAAGATCCAGGCCAACTCGAGTAACAAGACTGTGGGATGAGAAATTGAAGCAAGTCTATGAAAGTCTTGCATACAACAGCTCTGAGATAACCATGTCATTTTTTCTTATTCTAATCTTCTATTATAACTTTTTGAAAATGTTTCAGGAAAAAACAAAGGGCAAAACAAAAACAGGGAGCATAAAATCAAGATTTGAAAATAGTCAGTGAAAAAAATGACAAAAAAATGTTATCTTGCTTTCATTATAGTCCCTTTAGAACATATATCAAAATCCAAGGTTTCACATATATACCTATAACTGTATATATGTGTGTATATATATATATGAGTTATGATAATGTCTTTATTAATGAATGACTGTGAAGGATTGCCTCTAGATTGCTTTCTATTGTAGTCAATCCACTGGCATCAAAGATGCCCTTGAAACAGATGAGCTGGGTTTGGTGTGGGAAAAGAATGAGTAATAGTACGAAACCACAGAAAGATGAAAGTGAGACTGATGCAAGCAAGGAGCTTGAAGAAAAGTACTGAGGACTCAATGAAGCACAGTGGGAAGCACTGTAACATAACTCCCTATTGATGAGAACTGAGACTATTCAACATCCCTTGCAGTCGTGCTGGTGTCTGAGATGGAGCAACTCAATATGAACAAAAACCCCATGCTGTAAGTGAAGAAAAGTAGTGTTGCCAAAAAAGACACTGTGAGCCATGATCAGAGTGGTTATTAAGCCTACTATCACTGTCTCTCTCTCTCTCTGTGTGTATATGTGTGTATATATATATACATGCATACATATATTCTATATATATAAACAGAGAACAAAGAAAATGTCATATATGCTAAAAATTTCAGTTAAAATTAAGTATTTATAATTAATAAATATGTTAGGAAGAATATCATTAAAACAAGATAACAGTCGCTTTAAGTTTTATTTTATTTTATTGTTCCTTTTCTCTACAGTCTCACATATTCTGATGTCTATTTCTCACTGCCACTTTTGCTACTTTTTTCTTTACCAAAAATAATGTGTTTAAATGCATATATCCATTTGTGTGAATTCACTTTGTCACTTAAAATGCTTGATATATATGTATATATAAGTATATATTGATATATATACACACACATATATATGTAAAGAGTAATTCCATAAAATCCAGTCTCATTTCACTTTCTACTAATTCATTTTCTTTGTGACTGCATCCTTTTTTGTTTTTTGCCTCTCTGCCTACTCCCTCATGTTCATGTTCTTCTCATCTTTTTGTATAAAAATATTTCTATTTATTTAAATTTAATGCCATATTTATGTGACAGAATATTCCCCAACCCCTCAGGAGTATGCAAGATGACTTATCAGTCTCATATTTTACTGGATCAATGATAAAGTCATCCTTTGCTTCCTCTGCTCTTTCACAGCCAGAGATTTTACCTGTACTCTCCTCAGTGAGGCATGGATAATTAATAGCTCACTTTGATGCCTCTCTTACTTGGTAAAAAAATTTCACATTGCTTGGTATGAGCAGATAATATCTCTCCAGACACATGAATTTTCAGTGTTTCTTATGTAGGTTGATGCAAAAGTAATATTGGTTTTTGCTCTATCTATCTATCTATCTATCTATCTATCTATCTATCTATCTATCTATCCATCTATCCCGATATATGTTACCAAAACACCAGGGGTTTGGTCTAGGTCCTACTGCTCATGGCACAGAAAGCCAATCACTGAGACAGTGAGTTTTGCCAAGGAAGAAGACTTTATTTGGGAGCTACAGCCCAGGAGATGAGAGATGTCACAGTCTGTCTCCAAACCAACTAAAATTAGGAGCAGAAATTTAGCTACATGTGGGGAAAACAGGAATTTGGGAGGATTAAGGGAGAGGAGGTGGTAAGCAGGAAGTAGGGAAGGGTAAGAAAATCACACCAGATGACGGGTCTGGCATCTCATTGTCTGGATACAATGATCTGGTAAATTTCAGTTCCTTGTCTAAGGGTTGGTCTCCTAAGGAAGAAACTCAGAGAAGACAAATGTAAGTTCAAAGTTTTAAGACCAGAAGGGTCAATTTCTATGTTTAGTCAAAAAGCTGAAAACGGCAGTTCTATGGGACAATTGGGCCAGTTTCATATATATTTTGAACCCTGAAAATCTGAGACAGGTCTCCATTACTTTAGAAAGTTTATTTTGCCAAAGTTGAGGGTAAGTGCCTGTGACACAGCCTTGGGAGGTTCTGACATGTGCCCAAGGTAGTCAGAGCATAGTTTGGTTTTATACATTTCAGGGAGACATGAGACCTTAATCAACATATGTAAGATGAACATTGGTTCAGCCTGGAAAGGCGGGACAATGAGAAGCAAAGGCGGGAAGATGAGAAGTGGAGAGGGGCTTCCAGGTCATAAGTAGATAAGAGACAAATGGTTGCATTTTGAGTTTCTGATTCGCCTCTCCAAAGGTGGCAATCACATATGCATTTATCTCAGTGAGCAGAGGGATGACTTTGAATAGAATACAAGGCAGGTTGGCCCTAGCCAGTTCCCAGCTTCATTTTTCCCTTTAGCTTGGTGATTTGGGGACCCCAAGATTTATTTTCCTTTCACAATATATAAAAGTATGAAAGGAAACACACACACACACACATATGTATATATATATACACACACACACATATATATATACACACACACTATATATATATATAATTTTAAACTTTCAGAGCTCTGGCTTATTACTTGTGTTTAATCATAATTAACTTAGCAACCATAAACATAGTAATGCAGATCAAAGGCTAAACTATTTAAGACTCCAGTAATATGTAAAGTTAGTTTAAATAAAATACACTAGTGCTTATTTTTGTTTTTTAAATAAACTTTACCAAGATGTAATTTATATAAAAAATACGTTTAACTCACAATTATATAAATGTAATTATACAGTATGCAGTGTTTTCTGTCTGACTTTTCTCACTTAGCATGCTTTTCAGATTCATCCTTTTTTGTGGTCTTTTATTGTTTCTTTTTAAATATCACTAATTTGTGTATGTTATATATCAGTAATTTATACTGTTCTTATTGCTGACAATTATTCCATTGTATGGATATATCACAATTTGCTTCTTCATTCATCTGTTGATTGACATTTGTCTTGTTTCTAATTTGGGGCTCTTTTGAAGAAATCACTATGAGCATTCATGCAGAAGTATTCATGTGAGCCTGCGTCTTCGTTTTTCTTGAATGACTGCATAAGTGTAGTATTGCTAGGTCAATTGTCAAGTTTATTTTCCATGTCATTAGATAATGACAAATACTTTTCCAAAATGATTGTACTATTTTACATATGTAGCTGCAATGTATGAGAATTTCAGTTGCTCAACATATTAGTTGTAGTCAGTCTAATTTTCACTTTTCTAATAGATATGATGCAATATGTCCTAGTGCATTTAATTTGCATATCCATGATAACCAATTAACATTTTTAAATGTGGTTATTAGCCATGTATTAAGTTGGTGCAAAAGTAATTGTGGTTTTCAGTGAAAAAAAACTTTTGCACCAACCTAATACATTCTCTTTGATAAAGTGTCTCTTTAAATTTTTTTTTCCAGTTTTGGATTGAAATTCTTTTATTTTTCTTATTGAGTTACAAGTTTTATTTTTATATTTTATACAGTAATTTTTCAAATATATGGACTGGAAATATATTCTCCCCATCTGTAGTTTGCCTTTATATTTTCATAGTGATGCCTTCCAGTGAATTTGTAAGTTTGATGAAGTCTAGTCATTTCTTTTAATAGCTCATCTTTTCTGTGTTATAGCTAAGTAATCTTTGTCTACCCCAAGGTTACGAAGATATTCTACTATTTTTTTAAATAAGTTTTATAGTTTTAATGCTATGTATAAATACATGATCCATCCACATGCTACTCTTTTCTAAATAGTTTTGTGAATGGTTTGCAGTTTAGAGATAGTTTTTTCCCATTTTTTAAAGCACTATTTCTTTAAAAAATTACTTTTCTGTATAGAGTCACCTTGTCATTGATTTATCATATATGTGGGTCTATTTTGAACCCTTCATTCTGTTTTATCATTCTAAATACTTTTATAACTGGATTCATTATAAGTGTCAGAGCCAGGTAATATAGTCCTGTAAAGATTTTAACTTTCAGAATTCTTTAGTCTCTCATATATCCTTTGCACATTAATATATATCTTAGTATCATCTTATCAATTTCATAAAAAGCAAAACTAACAGATTTGGATAAGGGTTGCCTTATTCAAGGGTTGCCTTGAATGTATAAATCAATCTGGTGAGAATTTTTACAATGTTAAAACTGACAATTCATGAACATATTCTCTTCATTTATTTAAATCTTTAATTTTTCTTAGCAATATTTCATAGTTTTCAATGCATAGACTTTGCACTTATTTTGTTAAGTTTGTAATGTTTATTTCATGTTTTATACTGATATTGGAAATAGTTTCTCAATTCATTTTCTAAGTATTCCTTAACAGTTTATAGAAATCCATTTTATTTTTATATAGACTTTTCTCCTATGGCCTAGTAAATTCACTTGAACTATTTTTCGTCCTCTGAACATTTATTAGAATTTTCAGCATAGAGTATTGTGATGTGTTTCTTTCAAACTATGTGGCTTTTAATATTCTTTCTAGCCAGAATCTTAAGTATAATAATGAATAGAAGTAAATATTAAGTAGAAGTAAATATTAAATAGAAGCATACATAATTTGTTAGGATAAGCATACTATGTTATCATAAAAGTAAATTTAATTTGCCTATAACAGATTCTCAAATACTTTTAGTTAAATAATATTAAAGTTACTTGAGTATAAATTTTAATCTAAAAGTAGAGATATGCAAATATATATTCGAAATTGTCTTTTCTGCCTATAGTTGCATCTGTAATAGTACAGACTTTGGTTTTCAAACACTATATCCAATAATGAATAATTTAAGCAATATGACCCTGGAAAGCCTGTTTGTGTGTACATATATTTATTAGTTAAAAATGTGCTTATACTAGTTGAAGAATATGTAATTAAAAGTATTTTACAGTTAAAAAAAGTGTTACCTAAGGACATTTATCCAAAATTGTTCATTACTTTTTGGAAAAATCTGAAAGCAGGTAATTTAACTCTGTTCTCCCAAACAGCTAAAATTTGAAAATGTTTAAGTTAATAGCATCTATGTAATTAAAGTATGATATTGAATAAAAATACCTTGTAATCTCTCATTTTGTAAAGGAATAAAAAATAAGGGACAATACATATTATGTCTGTCATTTTGCAGAATAAGTTTTTGGTAGTTTGCATTTTTGTATTAAGAATTGATTTCTTCTTATGCACAGAATTTTCAGATTTACTTTAGATGTCTAAGAAACTGCAAGAATAGCTTCATAATTTCATATATTTTTACAAAAATGTTTATACATTACTAGTATCTACTGAAACTCTTCAGATGACTGAATCTGTCAGTACATGGTATAAAAATAAAGCAAAATGATGAATAACACAGTATTTCTTACTTTGAAAAGGATTCATGAAAATCCTTCCTATTTTCTAGTCATAAAATTGAAGTATTACATTCTTATCTCTTCTCAATCATAATCATTAATAAAAAAACTAGGTATCAAATTTTTGAATGTGATTTTTTTTATTTGTTTAACTTTTAAGTTCAGGGGTACATGTGAAGGCTTGTTACATAAGTAAACTTGTGTCACGGGGGCTTATTGTACAGATTATTTCATCACCAAGTTATTAAACCTAGTACCTCTAAGTTATTTTTCCTGTTCTTCCCTCTCCTGCCACCTTTCACCTTCTGATAAGCCCCACTGTCTGTCTGTTGTTCCTTTCTATGTGTTCTCATCATTTAGCTTCTAATTATAAGTGAGAACATTAGGTATTTGGTTTTCTTTTCCTGCATTAGTTTGATAAGGATAATGACCTTTAGCTCCATCCATGTTCCTGCAAAGGACATGATCTCGTTATTTTCTATGGCTGTATAGTATTCCATGGTATATGTGTACCACATTCTCTTTAACCATTCTATCACTAATGGGCATTTACGTTGATTCCGTGTCTTTGCTATTGTGAATAGTGCTGCAATGAGCATACACATGCATGTGTCTTTGTGGAAGAATGATTTAAATTCCTCTGTGTATGTACCTAGTATTGAGATTGCTGGGTCAAATGGTATTTCTGTTTTTAAGTCTTTGAGCAATTGCCACACTGTCTTCCACAATGGTTGAACTAATTTACACTCCCACCAACAGTGTATAAGCATTCCTTTTTCTCTGCAACCTTGCCAGCATCTGTTATTTTTTGACTTTTTAATGATAACCATTCTGACTGGTGTCAGATGGTATCTCACGGTGGTTTTGATTTGCATTTTTCTAATGTTCAGTGATGCTGAGGTTTTTTTTTTAATATGATTATTGGCTGTATGTATGTCTTCTTTTGAAAAGCATCTGTTCATGTTCTTTCCCCACTTTTAATGGAGTTGATTTATCTTGTAAATTTGTTTAAGTTCCTTACAGATGCTGGATATTAGACCTTTGTCGATGCAGTTTTCAAATATTTTCTCCCATTCTGTAGGTTGTCTGTTTTCTCTGTTGATAGTTTTGTTGTTGTTGTTTGTTTTCATTTTTGTTTTTGTTTTCACTGTGCAAAAGCTCTTTAATTAGAATCTATTTGTCAATTTTTGCTTTTGGCAACTACACTATAAAATCTTTGCCAGTTCCTACCTATGTCCTAAATAGTATTGCTTATGTTGTCTTCCAGGGATTTTCTATTTTGGGTTTCATATTTAAGTAATTAATCCATCACAAGTTAATTTTTTATATGGTGTAAGGAAGGGGTCCCATTTTCAGCTTCTGCATATGGCTAGTCAGTTAGCCCTGCACTATTATTGAATAGGAAATCCTTTCCCCATTGCTTGTCTTTGTCAGGTTTGTTGAAGATCGGATAGTTGTAGGTGTGCAGCCTCATTTCTGGGTTCTCTATTCTATTCCGTTGGTCTATGTGTCTGTTTTTGTACCAGTAACATGCTGTTGTGGTTACTGTAAACCTGTAGTACAGTTTGAAGTCAGGTAGTGTGATGCTTCCAGCTTTGTTCTTTTTGCTTAGGATAGATTGCCGTGGCTATTCGAGCTCTGATTTTTTTTTTGTTTGTTTCATATGAATTTTGAAATAATATTTTCTAGTTCTGTAAAGAATTGCAGTAGTAGTTTAATAGGATGAGCATTGAAGCTATAAATTGCTATGAGCAGTGTTGCCATTTTTATGATATTGATTTCTCCTATCCATGAGCATGGAATGTTTTTCCATTTGTTTGTGTTATCTCTGATTTCTTTGAGCAGTGGTTTGTAGTTCTCCTTTTAAAGATCTTTCACCTCCTTGGTTAGCTGTATTCCCAGGTATTTTATTCTCTTTGTGGCAATTGTGAATGAGATTGTCTTTCTGACTTGGTTCTCACCTTGACTGTTGTTGGTGTATAGGGATGTTTGATTTTTGTATTCAAAGACTTTTCTGAAGTTGTTTATCAGCTTAAGAAGATTTTTGGCTGACTATGGAGTGTCCTAGATATAGTATTATTGTCTGCAAACAGGGATAGTTTGACTTCCTCTCTTCCTATTTGGATTCCCTTTATTTATTTCTCTTTTCGATTGCTCTGACCAGGGCTTCCAAGACTGTTTAATAAGAATGGTGAGAGAAAACACCATTGTCTTCTGCTGGTTTTCAAGGGCAATAGTGCCAGCTTTTCAACATTCAGTATGATGTTGGTTGTGGGTTTGTTATATAAGGCTCTCATTACTTTGAGATATGTTCCTTCAACACCTAGTTAATTGAGAATTTTTAACATGAAGTAGTGTTGAATTTTTTCAAAAGCCTTTTCTGCATCTATTGAAATAATTATGTGGTTTTTGTCTTTAGTTCTGTTATGTGATGAATCATATTTATTGATTTGCATTTGTTGAATCAACACTGCATCCCAGGGCAAACCCTACTTGATTCTGTTGAATAAGGTATTTGATGTGCTGCTGGATTCAATCCACCCATATTTCATTGAGGATTTTTGTGCATTTATGTTCATCAAGGATATTGGCCTGAAGTTGACTATTTTTGTTATTTCTCTGCCAGGTTTTAGTATCAGGATGATGCTGGCCTCATAGAATAAGTTAGGCAGGAGTCCCTCCTCCTGAATTTTTTAGAGTAGTTTCAGCAGGAATGGAAACAGCTCTTCTTTGAACATCTGGAAGAATTCAATTGTAAATCCATCTGGTCCTGGGCTTTTTGTTGTTGTTGTTGTTGGTAGGTTATTTATAGCTACCTTAATTTCAGGGCTCAATATTGGTCTTTTAAAAGATTCAATTTCTTCCTGATTCTGTCTTAGCAGGATGTATGTGTCCAGGAATTTATCCATTTGTTCTAGATTTTTTAGTTTATGTGCACAGAGGTGTTCATAATATTCTCTGATGGTTGTTTGTATTACTATGAGGTCAGTGGTAATATCCTTGTTGTTTCTAGTTGTATTTGAATTTTCTCTCTTTTCTTCTTTATTAGTCTAGCTAATGGTCCATTTTATTATTTTTTTTTTCAAAAAACAAGCTTCTGGATTTGTTGATCTTTTGAATTTTTTTTTCTGTCTTAATCTCTTTCAGTTCAGCTCTGATTTTGGCTATTTCTTGTCTTCTGCTAGCTTTGGGATTTGTTTGCTCCTGCTTCTCTAGTCCTTTTCATTGTGATGTTAGGTTGTTAACTTGAGATCTTTCTAACTTTTGATGTGGGCATTTAGTGCTATAAAGTTCCCTCTTAACATTGTGTTAGCTGTGTCCCAGAGATTCTGGTACGTTGTGTCTTTCTTCTCAGTAGTTTCAAATAAGTTCTTGATTTCTGTCTTAATTTCATTATTTATCCAAAATTCACTCAGGAGCAGGTTGTTCAATTTCTATGTCATTGTATGTTTTTCAATACATTTCTTAATCTGGTTTCTAATTTGATCTGTGGTCTGAGACATTGTTTGTTATGATTTTCAATTCTTTTGCATTTGTCGAGGGGTATTTTACTTCTGATTCTGTGATCAATTTTAGATTATGTGCCATGTAGCAGTGAGAAAAATGTGTATTCTGTTGTTTTTGGGTGGAGAGTTTTGTTGATATCCATGAGGTTCATTTGATTCAGTGCTGAGTTCAGGTTCTAAATGTCTTTGCTTATTTTCTGTCTTGATAATCTGTCTAATATCGTCAGTGGTGTGTTAAACTCTCCCACTATTATTGTGTGGGAATCTAAATCTCTTTGAAGGTCTCTAAGAACTTGCTTTATGAATCTGGGTGCTCCTGGATGCATATATATTTAAGATAGTTAGATCTTCTTACTGAATTGAACCTTTACTGTTATGTAATGCCCTTGTCTTTTTTGATCTTTGTTTGTTTAAATTCTGTTGTGTCAGAAACTATGATTTCAACCTCTGCTTTTTTTCTGTTTTCCATTTCCTTAATAAGATTTTTTTATCTCTTTATTTTGAGCCTATGTGTGTCATTGTCTGTGAGATGGGTCTCTTGAAGACAGCATACCAATGGGTCTTGGTTCTTTATCCAGTTTGTCATTCTGTGTATTTTAATTGGGGCATTTAGCCCATTTACATTAAAGGTTAGTATCATTATGTGTAGATTTGACCATGTCATCATGATCTTAGCTGGTTATTTTACAGACTTGTTTATATGGGTGCTTTATAGTATAACTTGTCTATGTACTTCAGTGTGTTTTTGTAGTGGCTGGTAACAATTTTTCCTTTCCATATTCAGCACTTCCTTCAGGAGCTCTTTTAAGGGAAGTCTGGTGGTAATGAATTCCCTCAGCCTTTGCTTGTCTGACAGTAATTTTATTCTTCCTTTGCTTATGAAGCTTAGTTTGGCCAGATATAAAATTATGAGTTGGAATTTCTTTTCTTTAAGAATGTAGACTATTGGCCCCAAATCTCTTCTGGTTTGAAGGGTTTCTGCTGAGAGGTTCACTGTTAGTCTAATGGGCTTTCTTTTATAAGTGACCTGACCTTCCTGTCTAGCTGTCTTTAACATTTTTTCTTTCATTTTGACCTTTAAAAATATGATTATGTGTCTTGGAGATGATCTTCTTGTGAAGTTTATTACTGGAGTTTTCTACATTTCCTGAATTTGAATGTTTGCCTCTCTAGCTAGGTTGGGAAAAGTTATCATTGCTAATGTCCTGAAATATGTCTTCCAAGTTGGTTCCACTCTCCCCATCCTTTTCAGGGACACTAATAAGTCATATATTTGGTCTCTTTACATAAATCTCTATTTCTCAGATATTTTCTTCATTCATTTTTATTATTTTTTCTCTGTTCTTGACAGACTGCCTTATTTCAGAAAGGCAGTCTGAAAGCTCTGAGATTCTTTCTTCCTCTTGGTTAAATCTTCTATTAATATTTGTGATTGCATTATGAAATTCTTGTAGTATGTTTTTCAGCTCTATTGGGATGACTACATTATTTTCCATACTGGCTGTGTTGCCTGTCAGCTCCTACATTGTTTTATGAAGATTTTTAGCTTCCTTGCATTGAGTTTCAACATGTAGCTCAATGACCTTTATTCGTATCCATATTCTGAATTCTTTTTCTGTCATTTCAGCCACCTCAGCCTGGTTCAGAAGCCTTGCTGGAAAGATGATTGCTGGAGAGGTGATGCAATCATTTGGAAAATAGAAGGTATTCTGGCTTTTAAAGTTTTTCAAGTTTTTTGTGCTGATTCTCATATTTGTGGGTTTATCTACCTTCAATCTTTTAGATTGCTGACATTTGGATGTTTTTTTATTTTTTTAATCCTATTTGATGACTGTGAGGGATTGATTATGGTATAATGTGGTTTCAGCAGACTGGCTTAATTTCTGGAACGTATTAGGGGGCCAACATTCAACTCCTGATTCCTGTACTGTGTGCTCTAATTCTGAAGGACACTTATTGTGCCCCAGCTTTTCTCTCTGGCTCCTCAAGGTTTGGAATTTACTGTGCTGGGGGCGTTAAGGTTTGTCAGTTGTGGCAGTCTCCTGCAGACTTGCACCACAGTGGCACAGGCAACACAGTTGGGGCTTCAGTGGGCCCCTACTGGACACTGTGTGCATGGTTGCACTTGAGGTGGAGTTGTTTTGGGGATAAGATGCTGGCAAGCACAGGTCTGGGTGTCTCCTCTGTGCCCCACAAGCAGGAGAGAGATCATTCAGTGTGGGCCCAGAAGAAGCTGCAGTATGGGGAGGGAGTAGGTGGGCCTATGTATGGCCATAGGAGCCACCTGACTGGAGGTCTCCATTAGTTAGGCACAGTCAGCAAGTGCAAAAGCCATAGTGTGGGTCTCTAGGGCACCCAGGACTTCCTTGCAAACAGGCATGCCCAAGCTGAGGTGCCAGGAGAGGCCAGCAGACCAAGGGTTATTCAGATCAGACCAGCCCCATCTGATGGGCAAAACCACCCTGCAGAAATCAGTTTGACAGTTCCCCTAGAGCTAAAGTCTCCTATGGCAACAAGTCAAGTCTAGAGAAATGGCCATCCCTGTCCATACTCCACTTCAGATGTTTCTGCATCAAACCTTCTGGGCTTCACATCAGCTGTCTTGCTGCTCCTCCCACTTCTCTAAAAGCTCTTTCTGCCAACTTGAGTGTTCGTGTTGTTTGAGGTCTCCTACTGCTGGGGCTCCAGAGGCCCATGGCAAGACAAGGTTGCTGCTTGCCAATTTAACTTACTCATTCCCCTGGAGCTGTTGCGGTCCAAAAATGAGTGCCTCTGTGCCATAGCCCCATACAGTGTTCCCAGCTTTATCCCCCTTCAGTCCAGCTTCTGTGCCTTCCTTCCCTACCCACTTAGCATCTTCCCTCTGAAGAGCTGTTATAAGCACGCCAGTCATTTCAGTGGGAGCTGTTCCACCTGGCTGCATTAGCTGGCTATCTTCTATTTACTGATGACTTTATTTTTAAAGCATATTTATTGTAACATACACAAGTAATTAATGTACTTATTTAATTTTTGCTGGAACTAGTATAGTGTATTCTTACTTTTCCTGAGTGTCATTGAACTCCAGGCCAATTAAAACACACCTTTGAATTTTGATGAGTATTTTGCTTTGCTGAAGTTTAGTTTTTCATTTGTGAAGACAGCTCATTCATTGGGTCACTGAATTCCAGAAACATGTTGTGAACATTTATATCAATCATAATTCATAAGATGCTGTAGAAAGTGAAAGTCATTGCAGAGAAACTTAGTTCTCAAGGGATATAGCATCTAATCACCTGCTAACAAGCAACAAATAGTATAATAATTTATTATTCACAAAATTATACTTGATCTTTAAAAACAAAATATGTAAATGAATAGCAAAGAAATGTTAAAATGATTGAAGTCTGTTCATGAAATCAGTCCCAATTGAAGTTAGTTGAGAATGATTCATGGAAAAGATAAGTTAGTTGAAATTAGGATAAATAGGTGACAGATAAAGAATAAGAATATATCTGGTTATTAGACAATACAGGAAAATACAATTTTTCCATCATTTATTCACTTAATGATATTCATTTAGGACACATTTACACCTGTTGTGGGACTACAATAAGGAAAAAAACAGATGTTTCTGTCTTCATAGTTTAGACGAGGGGTCAGCTAACTTTTTCTATAAAGGGTCAGATGGTAAATATGGTACCTTATCCACCTGTGTGGACCAAGTAGCAATATCAAAGATAACATGGATATGCTTGTATAATAAGAAATAAAATAAATATCCATATTTTGTATTTTCTATATTTAAACTGTAATAAGAATAACTGAGTGAAATAAATTAAAAACTAATACAGTTTGGCTGGAATAGGAAGTAGTAAGAGGGTGGTAGCAAGGATGTGGCTGGCAGTGGAATTGAAGCAGAGATGGTCCTTTGGGAGGGAAGATAAGGCATCATGTCTCCAGAAGAAAGGGATTCTCCTGTATTCTGCTGTGCTCAGAGACCCAGGGCAGGATCCAAAAGCTTGTGGTCAGTAGAAGTGGGCTGAAGGTGGTCTGGATGAAAATTAAGACCTGTGGATGAGAAAACTTGGGGTGAAAGCTTTAAAGACATGTCCTGATTACTGTTTAAATTACTCAGCTGTTGTAGCTTGAGAACAGTCACAAATAATACCTAGTGGAATAGGATAAGCTTGTTTCTAGAAAATTCTATTTATGGGTAGTGAAACTTGAATTGTGCATAAGTTTAAAACATGACAAAATATTATTCTTAAAATTTTGTTTAGCCATTTAAAAATGTAAGAAACATTCATAGCTCATACACGAATTGGTAGTGGGATCACAGGGCTCACATTTGACTCACAAGCAATAGTTTACTGACTCGTGGTCTATGAAGAAATAAAGGATATGTAGTTTTTCAAACTATCTATATGCACTAGTCAAACTATAGTTTATTCATATGCTTATCACCAAATTTTAAAGTAAGATTTTATAAAAATCCATACATCTATAAAAATAATTTCATAATAAAACAAAGCTTAAATCTTTACAGTTTAATAAATACTAATAACTTATAAAATAGAGAAGAAACATATTAATTAGAATCAGTCACCAAAGGGTCTATACCTAACTCAATGAAATAAGGCTATGTTTCACATTAATTTCTTTTTACTTATTCATGGTTAATACTAAGTTAATAATCCAAATTCATTACTAATGTTCTGACTATTTGGTAAGCCAATGTCCACATGATTCTAAAAAAACTTCAAGATTGAATATATCAGTCTGGGAAATATTAATGGACAGATTTCAACTCCACTCCCTTAAGTTCAAAGTTTAAAAGAGTTCTCAGCAAAATAAGCAGTGTACAGATATCAGAGTGAAGTTCTTGAAAACTTGAGATAAAGAGGTGGGAAGCATTTAATTTACTGTAACAAGTAGTAGTCTGTCTCTCATGCCATTACCTAGAGAGGGAAATAGAGTCCATGCTAAGAGGGAATCTGCTTAAGGCATCAGGGGAGGGTACTGTTCCACAATAAATTAAATTGGCTTTGAGGACCACCCACACATTGCTGTATTCACAGAGAATTCTTGCAGTCAGTAATATACCTCTGATTTTTGATTGAAAGCATGAAAACTAATATATACTATGTTTTGGTTCACATAACCCAGCATTAAACTTCAACACTCTGGCACTGCTGATTATGGGCTCAGATTTTTCTGAATTATTTTTAAAAACTAATCTTCATCTCTGCTATGACACCCTCAGGGCACAAAGACTTAAGGTTCTTATTACATTAATGTTTTTATTCCTATACTTAAAGACATATAACGTTCTAAAGCAGAAATGTGAAATTAATCAGATGCAATACAGCATCTTTCAAAAGATGGCACATATCTAACACCTGTCAGCTCATCAAAGTTTGGTCTACTACTCTACAAATTACTACATATATCATTCCTGACACCTAAACTGAGGTAGAGAATAAAACAAAACTTGTAAATTTTGTAAGACTCACTAGCAACACATATGCAGTGAAGGATCTGTTCTCAATCTTTTTATCTTTAACCCCATTAGATACATAAATGCAGTGATAGACCCAATAACTTTTGTTAGAGATATATCATGCATATATATATATATATACACACTCATATATATTTCATATTAAATTAAAAATAGAAAATTTAAAAACACGAATGCACAAGTCCACATTTTGTTAAACTATTAGAATGATATCATCACATCATTAGCATCTAGAAAACTTAACTCTGCATTCATAAATGAATGACAGTTGAAAAGATAATAACTTCTTAGCAATAGTTTTAAAATGGTTTTTACTTTATGGACCCCCTGAAAGATATCTGGTGACCTTCATAGCTTCTTGGACTATAGCTTGACAAATATTTCAGTGAAGACAAAAACAGCAATAATTATTTGTGTGTGTGTGCTTAAAAAATTAAGCATTTATACTTTGAGAAATGGAATAAGGAATAGAATATGGAGACTCCTTTGCTGTCTGGAATTATATGAAGAAATACTTTTTTTTTTTTTTTTTTTTTTTTTGAGATGGAGTCTCTCTCTGTTGCCCAGGCTGGAGCGCAGTGGCACAATCTCAGCTCACTGCAAGCTCCGCCTCCCGGGTTCACGCCATTCTCCTGCCTCAGCCTCCAGAGTAGCTGGGACTACAGGCACCCGCCACCACGCCCGGCTAATTTTTTTTGTATTTTTAGTAGAGATGGGATTTCACCGTGTTAGCCAGGATGGTCTCGATCTCCTGACCTCGTGACCTGCCCACCTCGGGCTCCCAAAGTGCTGGGATTACAGGCGTGAGCCACAGCGCCCGGCCAACAAATAAATTTTTTATCTTTTGTTGATGAGAAGAGTCTACAAGTTTCCCTCTATCAATGGGAAATAGAAAAGATAGGAAGGTTGGAAGAGGGATTCTGTGGAGATGAGACAGTGTGAGGCAGGGTTTCTTCTTTGATCTGTGTGATCCAAGGACATGACAACAGGGAAGCTGATTGTGTTGCTAGGAGACCAACTGAAAAAGAGGATTCAGAATGAGTAAATAAAGCTAATGAAACAATAATATAATAGAAGTTAGAATGCAGTGGCAGAGTGTGAAAGACAGTAATATAAGCAGGTCACACTGGATCAGTCAACTAAACAAGACAGCTGTCTAAGGAAAATGCATTGAGAAAACTGTGGCCAGGAGCTTTTGTATTTACCAGTGCACAGTTCCAAAGTACAGAGGCAAAACTGAACTCCTTCACTATCAAAAATGGTGTGTGATGGTGGTAGTGATTTAGTTGTGGCGATATTTTAAGATACAGAATTATGTCCATTGAGAATTTTCTGGAAGTTCAGTGACTATATATTGAAATTTTGACTATAAGCTCTTTTAAATGCAATATTTCAGCTCTATAAACTCTAGGTGAGAACATCTAATAGATAGATGAGAATATTTTTGGCAGTCTGTTGTCAGAAGCTATCTGATCCACATATTTGTCCTTTTTATTCTTCAGTATTTGTGAATGTACTTGATTCTATTTTTAGATGAATCTCTAGCATTTAAATACTAAAAATTTTTTGTTAAAATGTTATTTTAAAGTGACATTTTATTGAAATTTCAATATTAAAAATAGATTTCCAATATTTTTCATATCATCAATTAAAATTAAATATAAAATCCTAAGATTATACATATTAGAATGAAATAAAGTAAAATGAATTATGATTTAATTTGATTTAACCAAAATATTAAAAATGGCCAACTCCTTTGGTAATTAAATATGAACTGGTAATTAAGTATTGGTAATTAAGAATAAATTTAAACAATGACATTAGAGCATTATTTTTTCTAAATGTAGACTGTGGTAAATAATGGTTAATAATATTAAACTAGTAAATTCATATTCTGTTTCATAAAGGTTAATAGTTGCAGCTTGATTCATTTAAAATATTCATTAAACATTCAAAATCATTTAATGAAGATTTGAATTAAAATTTAAATGATAAGGTAACATTATTCTTAATGTCAAAAATAAAAATATTAAACATTTTAGTTTTTGATTTTAAATGAAAGGACACTGACTTGGAAAAATGCATTTTATGAATGTTTAGTAAATAACATTTACTATATTTTCTAGATTATTTATAACTCTATCAATTAATACAATTTGTAATATTTTATTTGGGTAGTACTTTTAGTGGAAGTACATATTTCCTAGTATCTATGCATAAAAGAAGACTCAGTGTTTTTTTTTGTTTTTTTTTTTTTGAGACAGGGTTTCACTCTGTTACCCAGGCTGGAGTGCAGTGGCATGATCTTGGGTCATTGCAGACTGACTCCACCTTCAGGACTCAAGCAATCCTCCTGCCTCAGCCTCCCTAATAGCTGAGGCTACATACAGGCATGCACTACAAAGCCTGGCTAATTTTTTTTATTTTTTGCAAAGATGGGGTTTTACCATGTGGCCAAGGCTGGTCTTGAACTCCTAGGCTCAAGTTATCCACCCACCTCAGCCTCCCAAACTGCTGGATCACAGGTGTGAGCCACCACACTGAGCTTTTAGCGATGATTTTAACATAAATTGTTCAGTGCTTAATATGACTTACTGTAAGAAGCAATTAACTTCTAAGAGCCAAAGATGCAAGAAATGTTTACCACTAGCCACAGGAAAATAGAACATTTTACTCCCAATACACCTGCCCCTTTTGCAGGTAAGAGGCAAATTTGAAAGCAATTTTTTTTTAGTTAGTAATAATAATCTATAAACTTAGAATTTTATATGTCTAATTCATTTATTTAAAATAATAATATCAAGCCATTGATAATAAAAAGGAGCTTCAATGGGAAGTTCCTACATATATGATAATATATGTAGAATATATAGACCTACTATTTGAACTATATCTTTAAAAACAGACTTCTAGTTAGTTACCTGTCTCTTCTAATATAACTCCATTTAGATTGCTATTTTATTAAGCTTTTATTACAATACATTGCCACTATAACACATTTTATATTGGATTTTGTTTTCTTACACAGATTGATTTTTCCATGAAACTCTATTCTATTCTAATCTCCTGTAAGAATACCAAGTAGCCTTTTGTTTTTCCAATTCAAGTAAGAATTGTATAAAGTGTAGTTATTGTTTATTTTCTGTAAACATGTTATTTTCTAGATTAACTTTCATTTTACCAGATAATTTTAGACAGTAATAAGTGTTATGAAGACAATAAATTGGGGGTAATCTGATAAATAGTAAGTGCGACCAGTGGTTAATTTACATATGAATAGGAAATCCTTTTTACATTAAGACCTGCACCATACAGAGATGGGGACATTATTTGAGCAAACATGGAAACACTTTTGAGGTAGAGGAAAGAGCAAGTGTAAAGCCGCTGAGGTCGTAACACTTTGAAGGCCATGGTAAATGTTCTTGTAGGATCTCTCTATTGTGTTAACACTATGGAATGAATTCTCAAAGCAGACTTCAACTGATTATAGACTGTGATAGGCAGAAGAGCATCCCCTATGGATGTCCATGGCCTAATCCGTGGCCTTTGTAAATAAATTATGTTACATGAATAAATAATTTTTCCCAATGGAATTAGATTATGGACTTTAAAGTAGGAAGACTATTGAGATTAACTGGATTGGACCAAGAAAATCACACGGGCTCCTAGAAATGAAAGAGGAAGGCAGAAGAACCGGTTAGAGAGATGTGATGACAGAAGAAAAGGAGAGATTTCTAAGTGTGAGAGAGACTCCTGAATTCCATTCATTGTTGCTGGTTTTGACAATGTAGGCAGGGACCACGAATCAGGGCATATGGGTGGTTTCTAAAAGCTCGAAACAGCCCTCAGCAAACAGACAGAAAGAAATTGGGGGACTCAATTCTACAACTGCCAAGAACCAAATTCTAGCAACAGCTTCAATGTGCGGAAAAATGGATTCTCCCCTAAAGCCCTCAGAAAGTCAGAAATGAACACAGCCTGACAACAGCTTGGTCTTAGCCCAGGGAAAGCCATGTCAGAGTTCTCACATACAGAAATGTAAAGTAATAAAATTTGTGTTTTTAATCTTCCAAATTTGTGGAAATTTCTTATGGAAGAAATAGAAAACTAAAATGTAGATCTTATCACTACTAAATTTAATACTGATTTGAAGGATACAGGCAAGAACTAAGCAGAGATAAAATAGTCCTCTATGGAGGACACTGCATCTGTAAATTTTCGTTTCCAAAAAGAATGTTCTTTTTTTTTTCAGTGTTTGAAAGCACTTGGATATCAAATTAACAGGAGATTTTTGAACAATGTACAGTATATGTAAATAGTATACTCAGAGAAATTTTGGTTTTGGGGCTCCCCAATACTATAACTCATTTGTTACACAGTAGAAATGTATATATTTCTAAAATTTGATTTAACTTATATTTAAAATTTGGATATGTAGACCTATATATAATAATTTATCATTTTCATAAAGTTCTCAATCTTTTAGAATGCCATGGATAGAATTTGCTTCACAAATAGGTTAGAATATTTTTTCTTTAGCTTTTTAGAACTTCATGTATAAAATAGGGTTCTAATTCAAGCTGAGGCAGGCAGATCCCTTGAGGTCAGGAGTTTGAGACCAGCCTGGCCAACATGGTGAAACCCAGTCTCTACTAAAAATACAAAAATTAGCCAGGCGTGGTGGTGTGTGCCTGTAATCTCAGCTACTCGGGAGGCTGAGGCAGGAGAATTGCTTGAACCAGGGAGGCGGAGGTTGCAGTGAGCCAGAATTGCACCATTGCACTCCAGCTCTGGGCAACCAAGCAAGACTCCATTTCAAAAAAGAGACTTCAAATAGAAAACGTACTATGTGTACAGACCTACAAAATGCCAAATATGTGCATTTATGTATATATATTACAGATAAATATGTAAAGCATACATTTTATCCTCAAATTTGGATTTATTTGTTTTAAACAAGTTTTATGGGCTAATAATCCCATTTCTTTGTGATGAATAATTTTTTATTTTGAAGTATTTGCAACAGAAGCTCTCCTGACTCCCAGTGATCCTATAAAATGGCCATAATTTAGTGGATTTTAATTAGCTGGCACTTGGGTTCAGGAAATTTTAGATACTTGTCAAACAAAACTTTAAAAATGTTTCATAATCTGTAAAAATTAACTTATCATTTTTGTTATTAAATTTAACTTAAAAATTGACTTTCATTTATATTATTTAATTTATATTGAGTTATCTAAATACACAGCACATTATTGCAATTAATATTTCCATATAATTCCATATAATAAGTTTTTAAAAATATATATGCATTTCCAGGCCAGGCATGGAATCCCAGCACTTTGGGAGGCCCAGACGGGCAGATCACCTGAGGTCAGGAGTTTGAGACCAGCCTGGCCAATGTGGCGAAATCCCATCTCTACAAAAAAAATGCAAAAGTTAGCCAGCCATTGTGGCGTGTGCCTGTAGTTCCAGCTACTTGGGAGGCTGAGGCATAAGAATCGTTTGAACCCGGGAGGCAGAGATTGCAGTGAGCCAGGACTGCACCACTGCACTCCAGCCTGGGTGACAGAGAGCGTGTATCTCTCTCTCTCTCTCTCTCTCTCTCTCTCTCTCTCTCTCTCTCTCTCTATATATATATATATATATATATATATATATATATATGCATTATGCATTTCCTTTAATCTATTATCTTTTTGAGTATTTTTGTTCACTGCGCATCACATTTGTCCTCGCTAAAAATTTATTTGTTATGCAATTAGAAACATTTATCTATTCAGTCAGTAAAAAGAATTTATGAGTGTCTGGGTTAAATAAATATTTAAAAATTAATTAAAGAGGGTGTGTTTAGCTATGCTATATTTAAAATAGTCAAATCAGGCATGCCAAATATTTGGGTAAAATAATATTTTTGAATGTCCATGTCTTTAACTACCTTAAAATCCACTAAAATAAGTGTTATTTTCCATTATTGCTCTTGTTTATATTATGAAGATTTGGGATTTTTATATACTCTTTTATTTTAAAAATTTATTGATGTATTTATTTTGAGACAGAGTCTTACTCTGTTGGCCAGGCTGGAGTGCAAAGTTGTGATCATGGCTCACTGCAGCCTCGAACTCTCATGCTCAAGCGATTCTCTCACTTCAGCCTCTGTAGTAGCTAGGACTACAGGCATGAGCCACAACACTTAACTAAATTTTAATTGAATTTTAAAAAACTAAAGGCCTCTCTATATTGCCCAGGCTGGTCTTGAACTCCTGAGCTCACCCAATCCTCCCACCTCAGCCGTCCAAAGTGCTGAGATTACAGGTGTGAGCCACTGCATTCAGCTTTACTCTTTTTTTAAATTATCATTACAGATTTCACTTTAAATTTCAAGTACTAATGGAACAAGCATATTACATGTCCAACTTATTGACTGATACTGGAGGATCTCCTATCTTAATTTGTTACAGAAAAATGATTTGCAATATAAAAATTATTCTCAGATTTTAAAACTGAAACATTATTTCAAAACAGACACAAAAAGGAAATATGTCTAAAGAATTAATTCACCAAAAAAACCTGCTAAAATGACTAAACTGATTAAGGATCACTAACCAGCTAGATTACAGAATGATCACAAATCATCATTAGAGCATGACATAAGACTTCTGTGAAGCAGCCTGGTAGTCCTGTTCTTTCTGGAATTCTCATACTCTCCATGATAAGGTTCTGCCAAGAGATAATAATATCACATAGTCCCTCCTAAGGCTAATACTCCAGTATCATAACATTTCCCATAAAAAGTACAGTGATGTTATAAGTGCTTCAAATGCGAAGAAACTATCCTGTGTCAAATGACAATAAAATAGTTACTTTTCAGTGAATCTGCTGGAGAAAATAACAATCATCTTTATCTATGTTGTTAGCATGCTCTAAAAATCATATTTATTTATTTTTCTAAACATGAAATTGTGATGTGTAGTAAATATTATAAATTCTTATTTTAAAATGTAAACAATAGATAATATTTATGTCCAGTAGGCCAAATATATTTGAAAGCACATTTTTCAGCCCACTTCACAAGAAGAGGTAACACTACTCAGAATCAGGTATTGTAATAAGAATCATTCTAATTTTTAATGGCTAAGTTTATGGGTAGTATTATCATTATTTATTTTTCCATGACTAATTTAAATTTCTTCAGTGGTTTGTGAAAAAAAAATGGGGGTTTCAAATAGGCATTCATATCAGTCCTTGGACAGATATGTAGCTCAGCTCCTTTTATAACTTTTAGAATGTATGTGGTTTATTTCCCAGAAATGGTAGGCTGACCTAGCTGGAAAACAAAGATATGTCAACATTTTTAGCTTTCAGGTCTGTAAACTTGATCTTTGATATTTATTTCTTAAGCTTATACAACTGTGCCAGTTTGCAATGAAGGACATCTATACCTCAGATATTTCTTTAAAATATCCTGTTAAATAGTATCTATTGCAGAAAAGTCTCGCCCATATTACTTGCAGTAGGTAGGTCAAATTATATATTTTAAGAGAACTATAATTGCCTTTTCTTTGAGAACCTGTAAGTAAATAAAATGAAAAAGACCTTCTCTCAACACACACACACACACACACACACACACACACGCACACGTCTACACTGGTGAGGTTTAGATGGTGATAAGATCAAATCTATTCTGTAAAACAAGACGATGGGAAATGGATAAGATCACTGTATAATATATGGTGTTATCATGAAATGGCACGTTATTCCAGATTTGCTGAAGATCAAACTGAATCCATTTTTATTTCCTGGAAAGCCACTGTAAAAAAGATTCAAGAGTCCACTGATGATTTAATAATAGTAGCATACTATGCACATATTGATAACCACTTTCTTTTCAAAAGTGACATGTCTGGAACCCAAAAATATGAGAATTTATTGCTTGGGTTGGGAGAATAAGGAGCCAGAACTATAAAAATTAACATATTTTTTATTGTAACGTTCCCCATACTGCTGTTGGTGTGGCATGCTAAACATAATTAGCTTATGCAAATACATGAGGTAAGAGTAAGATTGCATTCTTAAAATCTTGGAATCCACTTAAAAGCTGTCTATATGACCTAAGAGATGATATAAGGGACATTTTTAGATTTTCTTTATGTTTTTAACATTTCTGTTTCTATCAACTTAAACCTCCCAAAACTCTGTATTTGGTTTAGTGTGCTCTAGCTCTCTATAGCAATCTGTTGGCATGGCTATGATTCCACAAAATATGCATTGGAATCGATGAAATTCATTAGAAAGCATGTCTACCTTATGCATGCTCTGCAAAAATGAAATTGAGTATAATGTTTATTATGTTACTTTATAAAATGACCCATGTGCTACTTTTATTTTTAATGAGATTTAATGCCAGGGAAAATTTTGTCTCTACAGAAAAACAAAACAAATTCTACAAAACTAAAAGCATGTGACACATTAAACCAATTTTATTTGTAATAAATTTATAATAATTAAATATTAACTAAAATATTAAATATTATTTACAATAATAATAATGAAACATTTCTTCTCTTTATGGCTTGGGTTGCAGAAAGCTAAAAACAAAATTAATCTTCTAATTTGATTAGTTTGCCAAACATTTACCTGTTAAATTAGTTATTTATTGATATGATTTGGCTGTGTCCCCACCCAAATCTCAACTTGAATTGTATCTCCCAGAATTCCCATGTGTTGTGGGAGTGACCCAGATGGAGGTAACTTCCCGTGCTATTCTTCTGATAGTGAATAAGTCTCATGAGATCTGATGGGTTATCAGTAGTTTCCCCATTTGCTTCTTCCTCATTTTTTCTCCTGTTGCTGCCATGTAAGAAGTACCTTTCACCTCCCACCATGATTCTGAGGCCTCTCCAGCCATGTGGAACTGTTAAGTCCCATTAAACTTCTTTTTTTCCCCAGACTTGAGTATGTCTTTATCAGCAGCATGAAAATGGACTAATACAACTATATAGTCATGGCATTGTGTTTTATATTTATTTAATATAAGTATATATTTTATGTTTTATATTATTTCATCTAATGTGCCATATGCCTCAGAAACTTGATTCGTAAAGGTATAGTGTCTATTTCAATAAAAATATGTGTCTCTTCGCCAAATCAGCAAAACACTTTTTAGCTATTAAGCTCATATTTTATATTATTGGATCTTACATTGCATTGATAGCTTATGCAATGATACCTAATGTAAATGACGAGTTAATGGGTGCAGCACACCAACATGGCACATGTATACATATGTAACAAACCTGCATTTTGTGCACATGTACCCTAGAACTTAAAGTATAATAATAAAAAATAATAATAAAATAAAGTCATTACATAGGTTAAAAAAAAAAGATACACTAATATTCTGTAACATGCATTTTTTATGACCAATTCATTAATCTTTTAATATTTATTTATTTAGAAATATAATTGGGAGACATCTGCTGCATATAAAACTATTTCACACTAAGTTTTTAAGAATGCATTCAACATATTTAAGAAATATTTTACTAATATTTAAGAATGTATTGATTTTTCTAAATATTATAATTTGTTCTATATCTCATATAACACTTCAATATGTATTTATTAACCATGTAATTACTTTGTGTTTATTTACATACATACATAGTGGAAAATTTATTTTTTACTATAGGTGTAAGAGAGAGCCAGCCAAGTATGTGTACACACACAGAAAGAGTTTAATTTTTACAAAGATAGTGCAAGTGTTTACATCTTAAATGAAAAACCTCATCTTCCTTAAACAAACATATTTTAGGGTAAAATGAACAAAATCCTTTTATTGAAACATATAAAGTTATCAATATGGTAAAAAAACAAATAGGATACTAGAAATTTCATTTGGCTCAATCTAATATAACATTCTCAAACAAATATATTCTGTCAATTCCGTGGTTGCCATTCTTGCTGCTAAAGGTTAATAAATGATTAAACAATAGTTTACAGTTAATTTGAAAAAATTAAAGAGCTCAACTGTAATTAAGAATGAGAATATTTTAGTAGTTAATCATAAATAATACCTTTATTCTACCTGGGTGGTCTCTTGATTCATACACTTCCTGTGGTCACTGGTATGTAAATAGTTCCTTTTTGTGCTTTATGTAATTGAGGGTATTTTCAATAAAGTACTTGATTATTTTAGCAAAAAAAATGTATTGTCATTTTATGTTTTTATAAAATATAGTTGTAATAAATTTTAAACAAAGATCAAATAAATTAAAATCTATTATATATATAAACATTTATAAATAAATGTTTTTATATAAATATATATAAAAAATAGGCCAGGCGCTGTGGCTCACGCCTGTAATCTCAGCCCTTTGGGAGGCCAATGTGGGCGGATCATGAGGTCAGGAGTTCGAGACCAGCCTGGCCAACATGGTGAAGCCCCATCTCTACTAAAAATACAAAAAATTAGCTGGGCCTGGTGGCACATGCCTGTAACCCCAGCTATTCAGGAGGCTGAGGCAGGAGAATCGCTTGAACCCAGGAGGTGGCGGTTGCAGTAAGTGAAGACCCACGCCATTGCACTCCAGCCTGGGCAACAGAGCAAGACTCTGTCTCAAAAAATAAAACAAAATGAAGTAAAATAAAATAAACATTTCCATACTTACCAGGCAATTTATGTATGTCATGGAGTACAGTTTCCAAAATTGCATTGCTTTTTATCAACATATTCACTGTGTATGTTGATGGTAACAATAAAGAAAAAGAAACAGGGCCAGGCGTTGCAGCTCACGCCTGTAATCCCAGCACTTTGGGAGGCCAAGGCAGGCGAATCATTTGAGGTCAGGAGTTTGAGACCAGCCTGGCCAACATGGTGAGACCTCATCTCTACTAAAAATACCAAAATTAGCCAGGCGTACTGGTGTGCACCTGTAATCCCAGCTACTCAGGAGGCTGAGGCTGGAGAATCACTTGAACCCGGGAGACGATGGCTGCAGTGAGCCAAGACTGTGCCACTGTACTCCATCCTGGGTGACAGAGTGAGACTGTCTCAAAAAGAAGAAAAAGAAACAAACCTAGAATTTGTTGATTCACAAATATGTCATCAACACAATAATTATTAATCTTTCTATTGTAAGCAAGTAGGTAATTGGATACTGTCTTAATTTGTTCCGGGTGATATAACAAAATACCATAAACCAAATATCTTATAAACAACAGAAATGTGTTACTCAGAGTTCTGGTTTCTGGGAATTCCAAGACCAAGACACAGGCATATTTGGTGTCTGATGAGAGCCTGCTTTCTGGTTCATGTAAACACCACCTTCTCCTGAGGAAACAACTGTGTTTTCATGTGCTAGAATGTATTTTCATGTTCAGAGACAGCTCTCTGAAGCCTAGTTTTTAGGAGCACTAATCCCATTCATGAAGGCCTCATGACCTAATTACCTCCCACAGCACCCACCTCCTAATGACTTTACATTGGTGATTAGGTTTTTGACATATGAATTTTAGGAAACATGACACAGTTTGGATGTTTGTTCCCTCCAAATCACATGTTAAAATGTGATCTCCAATGTTAAAGACAGGGCCTAAGAGGAGGTATTTGGGTCATAGGGGCAGATCCCTTATGAATGGCTTGGTGATCCCTCAATAGTAATGAGTTCTCTGAGATGTGGTTATTAAAAGGAGTCTAGTATTGCCCCTCTCTCTCTTGCTCCCTCTCTTGCCATGTGACACATGTACCCCTACTCCTGCTATGCCTTCTACCATGAGTAAAAGCTTCCTGAAGCCCTCACCAGAAGCAAATGCTGACATCATGTGTATTAGTCCACTTTCATGCTGCTGATAAAGACATACCAAAGTCTGGGAAGAAAAAGAGGTTTAATGGACTTACAGTTCCACATGGCTGGAGAGGCCTCACAATCATGGTGGAAGGCAAGGAGAGGAGCAAGTCAAAACTTAAATGGATGACGGCAGGCAAGAGCGAGAGCTAGTGCAAAGAGACTCCCATTTTCAAAACCATCAGATCTCATGAGACTCATTCACTATCATGGGAACAGCACAGGAAAGACCTACCCCTACAATTCAATCACCTTTCACTGGGTCCCTCCCATGACACATGGGAATTGAGGGAGTTACAGTTCAAGATGAGATTTGGGTGGGTACACAGCCAAACCATATCGTTCTGTTCCTGGCCCCTCCCAAATCTCATGTCTTCACATTTCAAAACCAATCCTGCCTTTCCAACAGTCCCTCAAAGTCTTAATTCATTTTAGCATTAAATCAAAAATTCACAGTCCAAAGTTTCATCTGAGACAAGACACGTCCCTTCCGCCTATGAGCCTGTAAAATCAAAAGCAAGTTAGTTTCTCCATAGATACAATAGGGTACAGGCATTGGGTAAATACAGCCATTCCAAATGGGAGAAATTGGCCAAAACAAAGGGGCTACAGGCCCCATGCAGGTCCCAAATCCAGCAGGGCAGTAAAATCTTAAACCTTCAAAATGATCACCTTTGACTCCATGTCTCACATTTGGGTCACACTGATGCACTAGGTAGGTTCCCATAGTCTTGGGCAGCTCTGCCCCTGTGGCTTTGCAGGGTACAGCCTCCCTCCCAGCTGGTGTTGTGTCTACATCTTTCCAGGCACATAGTGCAAGCTGTTGGTGGGTCTACCATTCTGGGGTCTGGAGGACAGATGGTGGCCCTCTTCTCACAGCTCCATTAGGCAGTGCCCCAGTAGGGACTCTGTGTAGGAGCTCCAGCCTGAGATTTCCCTTCCACAGTGCCCTAGCAGAGGTTCTCCGTGAGAACCCCATCCCTGCAGCAAACTTCTGCCTGGACAACCAGGCATTTCCATACATCCAATGAAATCTAGGTGGAGGTTTCCAAACTTCAATTCTTGACTTCTGTGCACCACAGGCTCAACACCACGTGGAAGCTGCCAAGGCTTGAGGCTGGCACCCTCTGAAGCCATGGCCCGAGCTGTACCTTGGCCCCTTTTGGTCATGGCTGGAGTGGCTGGGATGCAGGGCAGCACACAGCAAAGAGACCCTGGGCCTGGCCTATGAAACCATTTTATTCCTCCTAGGCCTCTGGGCCTGTGATGGGAGTGGCTGCCATGAAGACTTCTGACATGCCCTGGAGACATTTTCCCCATTGTCTTGGGGATTAACATTTGACTCCTCGTTACTTATGCAAATTTCTGCAGTTGGCTTGAATTTCTCCTCAGAAAATGAGATTTTCTCCTTTATTGCATTGTCAGGTTGCAAATTTTCTAAACTTTTATGCTCTGCTTCCCTTATAAAACTGAATGCCTATAACAGCACCCAAGTCTCATCTTGAATGCTTTGCTGCTTAGAAATTTCCTCTGCCAGATACCCTAAATCATCTCTCTCAAGTTCAAGGTTCCACAGATCTCCAGGGCAGGGACAAAGTGCCACCAGTCTCTTTGCTAAAACATAACAAGAGTCACCTTTGCTCCAGTTCCCAACAAGTTCCTCATCTCCATCTAAGACTACCTCAACCTGGACCTTACTGTTCATATCACTATCGGCATTTTTGTCAAAGCCATTCAACCAATCTCTAGGAAGTTCCAAATTTTCCCACATTTTCCTGTGTTCTTCTGAGCCCTCCAAACTGTTTCAGCCTCTGCTTGTTACCCAGTTCCAAAGTCACTTCCACATTTTCAGGTATCTTTTCAGCAGCACCCACTCTACTGGTACTTATTTACTGCGTTAGTCTATTTTCATGCTGCTGATAAAGACATATCCAAGACTGGAAAAAAAAGAGGTTTAATGGACTTACAGTTCCACATGGCTGGGGAGACCACACAATCTTGGTGGAAGGTAAGGAGGAGCAAGTCTCCTCCTTGGATTGTGGCAGGCAAGAGAGAGAGCTTGTGCAGGGAGACTCCCGTTTTTAAAACCATCAGACCTCATGAAACTCAATCACTATCAGAGAACAATAATGGGTAGACCTGCCCCCATGATTCAGTCATCTCCCACAAGGTCCCTTCCACAATATGTGGGAATTATGGGAGTTACAAGGCGAGATTTGGGTGGGGACACAGAGAAAACCATATCACACAGTAATAACACATATGAAGCCAACCATTTCACTTTCATAGATATAGAAATTGAGACTGAGCCTATTAAGTGATAGAGCTGTGCTCACATCTATGTTTACATCACTTGGAAGTTTCTGTTTTTTTGCAAACACACTATAGTTGTTTAGTGTGCAAAAAATACAATGGATTTTCTATCAATTATAATATACATTCTGATAGAACAATGGTAGATTTTGCAATATAACCTACCTGGAGAGAATAGTAACGTCTTAACCTTAGTTTTAATACTTCCAATATGTTTTATTTATGAATTATTTTATTACAATAGATTGTTCTTTAAATCATTTTTATGGTTTTTATTTTATTTGAACATTTTTGGAAGTGGTTTATATACATGCCTTCTTGGTGCTTTGCTTTGCTTCTTATTTCCTTTACTTTATTATTTCTTGAAACTTCCCTGCTATCTTATAGCAAAACTCGATGTTCTCACTTAAACATTAGATCTAACCACATTCTAGTTGGCCTTGCAGCTATCTGCAGATGATTCTATATCTGTCTTAGAAACACAGATAGATCAATGCATCTTTTTAAGCATGACCATCATCTTGTTTTCTGTTACAACTTAATATATATTTCTTCTCTATGCTTTAGGATCTTGACTTGTTTTCCTTTTTGCTTCATGCGAGATATTTACCAAGTCCTATGAAAATCATATTTTTCAAGGATTTTTTTCCATGCAGTTTTAAAAAACAAATGAGTAAAATGGAGTGGGGATTCATAGAGACAGGTGCTGCAGAAATCCCTGGCTTGGTTGTTCTGATTGGCATTTATAAATCTTATAAAAGTAATTTGCTTAATTTTAATTTTGCCTTTCCAGGGCATCCATGAAGCTGACAAAATATGATTCAGAGCAAAGATATATTATTTTCTCCCTCTCTCTTTTCAGAGGTAAAGCTGCTTTTAATGCTTCATTTGGGTACAGAACTAAAAAGACTTAAAAGTCACGTTATTATGAAAAAGAGAAGAACACAACTGTCTAATTGTTCACAGGAAATGTGTAGAAAACAGCAACTCTCTGACGTATCTTCTGAGTTTTTGGTAGTTTTATGTTTACGCAAGGCTATAAAGTGATGAAACCAACAAAAGGGATGTACGGTTGACTTCATGTTCCATACTGTGAACAGGAGGGATACTCCTTTCAAAAATGTTTCTCCATCACCAACCTCTGATACTCTTAAGATTAGAAACATGAAAATCACCATACTTTTCCTTTTTCATGTAGGTTAACTGATGCCCAGGTTGTGCCATTCAATGTTTTGCTTTCCTTGAAGGCATTTGGAGGCTTTCAAACAGGTTTCATAATTCAGGCAATGTCAATATAATTTCAAAGCTACAAAAAAATATCTGTCACATATAAATGTCTAAGGTAGAATAGACTGTTTAGGCAGACAGTTGTAGATTTTTATTTCAGGGAAATGTAAAATAGCATCTTCTTAATGTGTGTCTTGGACTATAGTTACATGATTCCCAAGGTGTGGTATAAACCAGGAATAAGTTGAATTTATATATTCTAGTGAATAAAGTGGGTGTGATCTACTATCAGCAAGCAGTCTTTAATTCCAGATAATGTCTTATTTAACATGCATACCTTTTGTTGTACTTATTATGAAATTCAAGCTGTTTACAAATTGCATAGCTTAAATAGCTAAAATTTAGAATAACTCCAGTGCTTTATTTCTAATGTAAGATATTGTTTATGTTGTTTTTTTCTGATTTTTGAAAAATAAAATAATTGTATATGTAACTTCATTATAGATTGTTATAGTATAGAAGTACCTTAGCTGCACTTTTTAAAGTTTTGGAATATAACACATTCTTTCTTTTCAATAAAAGTAACCCACTGATATTGGTTAAACTGGAAGTTATCAGAGTTACATCTTCTTACAAACAGACACTCCAACAGTAAGAACAATTCTAAATACTATATCTTACATATATACAACAAAATATTCTCAAAATAATTATTACTGAGTTTCTCAACATTCACTTTATTTTTCTTCACATACTAGATATACAATATACATACAATTTTAAATGTACAAAATATTAAATAAAAAAGGAAAAGACAAAGACAGGTTCCAAAATCATCTCAAGAAAAGGAGTTTTGAATTATTTGAGCAGTAGCAGATTGAATGGATAAAGCTTATGACACATTATTTCTGCTTGCCAAAATTCCTATTAATTCAAATGAAAAGTATGAGATTCACTATTAGAAGAGCAAAAATATATTTACTCAGATAGTTTACATCTTAATGTTGTGCTTTGTAATTATAGCACTATATTTTCGATACACGAGAAAAATACAAAAATTACTTTCATTGAATGTTTAAAAAATATAAATTATCTGTTTTGTCATCTTAAAATGATTTTTGTGTGTCTAAAGCTATGAGGTTTTTAAAAAATATTACCACTTCAAAAATTATTTGGGAACAAGTTAAGTTATAAATTAAGATAATTAAGATATCAAAAGAACATGTGAACATCTATCCAGTTATATGTACATCAAATAAAATACTTAATTTCATTTTAATACCTTCCTAACAAAAAATGTTTATTTTTAAATTAAGTTAAATAAGGCTTCATATAATTAGTAATATTCAAATATGAACAAGAGAAGTAAAACATTTAGACACCTTAAGTGTTTTAGGAAAGTGTTAAGATTTAGTTATCTGAAATATTAAGCATTTGTAATGTTGGTATTTCTTCTACAAAATAAGTTTTTCTTCAGAATTTGGAAGTTGCGAAAAACAAAACAAAACAAAAAAACAAAGAATACCTTTGCAGTTGCCTTGTCTGATAGTGGTTAGAATAAAATTTCAGTCTTTAGTCAAAGTCAAGAGTATTGCTGCAGCTAGATAAAGAAGCTATTACCCTCTAAAGACAGCTGCTTTGGGTGAATGGTTTTGTGTTTCGTTTATCATAACAATGGGTGATAAGGCTAATAAGAAGTTGTGCAGTGCTAATGGTGGTGATAAGAAACGACAGGACATTACTCTTGAGTAAATCCAGATATGATCAAATGTTGAATTGGCTCAGTGTTGCTGAGTAAGCTGTCCACTTTAATCACAACAACAAAAGAAAATATCTTTAATATAGAATACCTTTAGGAAAAAATAACTTGGGAGTCTGAGTATCTCTAGTTCTTAGTCTACTTTTCTACATTGAAACATTATTTTCATAATTTAGTTTTTGACCATTTAAGTGTGTCTTGTGAATATGACAGCAAGCACTTATCAAGCAGTTTGTGTTTATGTGGTAATGCAAAGAACTCGGCCTAGAAAGGAAGAAATTAGAAGTCACAGAACTAGTTGGGTGTGGTGGCTCATGCCTTAATCCCAGTACTTGGGGAGGCTTAGGTGGGAGGAGTGCTTGAAGCCAGAAGTGTGAGACCAGCTTGGGCAACATAGTGAGACCCTGTCTCTGTGAAGAAAAAAAAAAAAAATTAGCTGGGCATTGTGGTGCGTGCCTGTAGTCCCCACTACTCAGGAGGCTGAGGTAGGAGGATCAGTTGGGTCTAGGAGTTCGAGGCTGCAGAGACCTATGATCACGCCTCTGCTCTCCAGTATGGGCAACAGGGTGAGATCCTTTCTGTCTAAAACAAACAGGAAGGAAGGAAGACAGGAAAGAAGGAAGGAAGGAAGGAGAAAAGGAAAAGGAATGAAGGAAGAAAGGAAAAGGAAGGAAGGAAGAAAGAAAGGAAAAGGAAGGAAGGAAGGAAGAAAGGAAAAGAAAGGAAAGGAAAGGAAAGGATTATAGTACAGGTTGAGCACAAAGAATTACCATTCAGAGGTGACATTTGAGTTGATATTGAAAATGGAGTAGATTCACTAGGTAGGTAAGGAAAGAATATTTCAGTACAGGAAACAAATAGGGCAAAGGGCAGATGTGAGAATGAATGGATGTGAATGAACTGCAAACTACAGGTTACATGGGGAGGGTGCTTCATTGGTGTGTCTTTTGTGCAGGTAGACACGGTACCCTTCATTTGGCCCATATATCACAGTATAGTGTGTAAATTATCCTAAGAGAAGAGGTTTGCCTCCCATATCCATTTGCTTTCATTGTGTTGGGATTTATCACAGATTAGACGTGCTAGATTAATTTGTGTTCTGTCTTGTGTTATCTTGTTTTAACGTAATTTACATTCAAGCTTGTGGTCAAGTTTGCCATTTGGAACCACGTTTTTGTGAGCTGTTTCAACTATGAAAACCATTGAAATGTTGAGCAAATTGACTTTAGCAATCTTTCAAATTGCTGAAAAAATAATTTTCAAAAGGCAAATGTGTTTTTATTGTTAATACAAGTTTATACATTAAAATGATTGAACTAAATTTTACTATTAATCCAGAACATATTTGGGGATGTCAGAGCTCTCTTTCTAAAAACGAAATGTCTATTGGTAGCATAAGAAACAACTCTGAAATAAAAAAATTCTAAAATACAAGTTATCATCTTACTCAAGAATTTTAATAACTTTTATGGCTTATGGCAGTGACCTTCAAACTGTTTTTGTAACAGAATTCATAAGTAATGGTCACAAGCCCAGTGATTGTTTGTTTGCTAATATTCCTATACTGTTTTATCCTATACTGTTGTATTGTAACCATTACAAAAATTTTCAAAATTGTAAATAAAATTAAGAAATACTGATAAAAATTATTATTTAAAAACTTGGTACTGATAGTACCAACTCCTTTAGTTTGCAGTATTAAGTAGACCTTGCATGTGGAAAATCAGGGCAATGAGTGGCATCCAGTAAGCACTTGATAAAGGTTTGTTTGTATTATCATTGCTGCTACTGGTACTGAACTCCTTGCTGGCCAAAATGCCCCTTTTTTGTAGTTGGATAGCCCAGCAAATTCTTTTTTTCACTCTTAGCATTTCCTTAAGTCTGGACTTCTGATTTTGTAAGCAAATAACTGCTATTACAAAATAATTTTATACTTTAAACAGTACTATAATGTGAAGAATAGTTATATTCGAAATTGATTTATTTGATAAAAGTTAAGTCACTGGTAGAAATGAATAGATATAAGATTAATTTAGAAATTTTATGTTGACTTTGTTATCATATACATTGTATCTGAATGTAGTTTTTCATACCTCTCAGCACTTCATTTCAAAGTATAAAAGAAAGTTCTGATTCTGTCAGGTTCAGCATAAATAAATGCAGGGCTTATAGCCACAAGGTAGATTAAGCTGCGTTTGTCATTTTCTTTGCGTTTAATGAAAAGAAACTTATATTATGTTTTGCTTCTTTCTCAGAGGTTAAATTTATTGTCCTTGCTATTCAGAAGTTTTTATTTGAAAAAATGCAGGATAGTTTCTGTTTTCTTGTTCTTTGATAGTATTAAAATATAACTCTGAATAGATACTGAAACATAGTGATGACATGAACATACTTTTTACAATATAAGTGTGCATATATAGTAACACTTGTGTAATATACTGGATAAGATACTTAACATATTTTTGCATGTGATTTATAAATTCATGTGTGTATACTTTGTGGGAACACAATAACATAGTATTATTGTTTATACTTTGTAGTACATATAGATATGCATAAACATACTCAGATATGGAATTTCCATACCTACTGCTTACTTTTAAAAATAGCAATTGATAAATGAAAATAAATAAAACAATTTATTCACAATACTATAGTGATAACTCATGCTAAACATTTAAAATACTTTTAGATTTCATTGTATTACAAAATTACATACATGATGAAGTCCATATTATATTTAAATTATATATCCTATATTTCTTTTTAAATTATATTAAGTTTATGCCACAATGTCATTGAAAATTTCTATTATAAATAATTTCAAAGGATGTAGAATATTCTGTTACATGTGTATTTTGCTTAGGCTAAATATGAGGTCATCCATCATTCCTTTCATTTTGCTACCCCGTAGCCAATCTACCAGCAACTTCTGTTGAGTAAACCTTCAAAATATATTCAGAATCAGAACACTTCAATTCTGTTTTTTGCAAATAAAATAATGTCCTAAATTAGACAAGGTCAATTTCTCATTCAAAAATCTGTGATTTCACATTGCTCAAAGAGGAGTAAACGGTACAAGTACATATAAATCAGTAAAACATTACTCAAAAGTAATGTTGACATATTCATCATCAATTTGGCACATATAAAAATATATAAAAGGCTTGTGACAAAGGACATTAAAAATTTCAAATTAATATTCTAATAGTAAAAGTATAAAAATTATATTCAAGAATTTTATTTATATATATAAAATAGCATGTATTAGTCAGGGTTCTCAAGCATGCTTGATTCTGTCAGGAATCTTCATATTTTAAGACTAGAAGTCAAGCTTTGTGAAGGCCAATCCTTTCTAGTTCACCTTTGATCCAACTGTGTAGTCCCTTTGTATTTTCAACTTAAAGTTTGGAATGGTTTCCTGAAGTCCTCCTCCGTGGTGGATAATGTGTGTGTGCGTGTGTGTGTGTGTGTGTGTGTGTGTGTGTGTGTGTGTGTGTGTGTGTGTGTGGTTCCTGAAAATTTTTAGAAGCTTTTTACCATCTTAGCTGCTACTTTTGGTTTTTTACTCTTCTTGCCAGTTCAGGAATTGACAAAATCCTCAGGGGAAATTGGCACATGAATTTCAGGCTCACCTCTCTGAGGTTTCCTTTTCTCCTGGGTCTTGGTCTCTCAAGTCCTGGATGAGCTGGTAATCTAGAAATGTGACTGCAGATCCTGCCCAGAACCAAGGCTTTTTGCTTGGCCTTCATACCCAGTGCTTAGGATCTGCATATAATCCAAGGGAGAAAAAAAATCAAAAGTAGAACTACTCAACACATTTCTCTTCTTTTTCTCCTCCCTCTGGAAGATTGTCTACACAAAGCCTTAGTTGTCTTAGTTGCCCTCTGATAATGCATGTGGTTTTGTTTAGTTTTTCTGTCGATGTAGTTGCTCTTAGCAGGAGAGTTCTTATTATACAAATTATTCAGACAAATTTCATGTAGAAATTAGAAAATAAATTTTAAGTTATAAAATATTAATATTTAACAACATATAAATTACCTGGTACCTATACGTGAGAAAACAAATTAAAAAAAAATCATCCAAATGATTATTTCAAAAGAAAAAACGTATTACCTAAGTATTCATTCTCCAAAGCAGAATAAGATGTAAATTTTTAAATTCCCACTTACTTATGATTTCTTATAGTACTATTTTATGTATGTGTATGTATTTATATAATGTTTATTGTGATATATTGTAATATTTAATATATTTAATTAAATTATATAGTTAATTGAGTTATGAAATATAAAAAATATATTATCTAATATAACCTAATGATACTTTAAACATTTCACTTGTCTTAACGTTTTGTAAGTATCTAAAACATATAGAATATATGTTTTTTCTAATGCAAAAAAAGCCAATATTTAAGCAAGAAAAAGCTACAGCTTCTCTCTTTCTTTTCTGTTTTCTTTTCTCTTTTTTTTTTTTTTTTTTTTAGAGAAAGGGTCTCACTCTGTTGTCCAAGCTGGAGTGCAGTGGCATAATCATAGCTTACTGCAACCTCAAACATCTGAGCTCAAGGGATCCAGGTACATGTCACCATGTTTGGATAATTTTCAATTTTTTTTTTTTTTGAGACAAACTTTCACTCTTGTTGCCCAGGCTGGAGCGCAATGGCACAATCTAGGCTCACTACAACCTCCGCCTCCCGGGTTCAAGCGATTCTTCTGCCTCAGCCTCCTGAGTAGCTGGGATTACAGGCAACCACCACCATGCCTGGCTAATTTCTGTATATTTAGTAGAGACGGGGTTTCATCATGTTGACCAGGCTGGTCTTGAACTTCTGACCTCAGGCCTTCTAATCCACCCGCCTCGGCCTCCCAAAGTATTTTTTTTTTTTTAATAGAGATGTGGTCTCAATATGTTCCCCAGGCTGGTCTTGAACTTATGTCCTCAAACAATTCTCCCTCCTCAGCTTTCCAAATTTTGGAATTACAGGCATGAGCCACCAAGCCCTGCCTACAGCTTTAAAATCATTTAATAAGCAATTTATTTACCTTTAACATTTCAAATTCCTGCCTAAATCACTATATTAGTTGTTCTCGCATTGCCATAAAGAACTACCTGAGAATGGGCAATTTATAAAGAAAGGAGGTTTAATTGACTCACAGTTTCTCAGATTGTACAGAAAACATGACTGGCAGGAGAGCTCGAGTGAAGGAGGAAGTGCCGCATACTTTCAAACAACCAAATCTCATGAGAACTCCATCACGAGAACAGCAAATCTGCCCCCATGATTCAATCACCTCCCACTAGGCGCCTCTTCCAACACTGGAGATTACAATTCAACATGAGACTTGAGTGGGGACACAGAACCAAGCCATATCAATCACATAAAATACAGTAGCCATTATATATATTTATGTTTTTAAGATTTTTTTCTGTGAAGACTGAATTACTATATTCTATATACTAGGTGAGGTATATACTACCAACAAAAATGAGTTAATAAAAATCTCTACTATTTACTATTTATTCAGTGTCATCTGCTATGAAAAATCCTTTATAAACCCAATAGGATTTTCTTCCCAAACTTTCAATTTTGAAAAATTGTAAACCTTGCAGGCCAATTTTGTCTTCTAAATCCCATTCTCCACTATAACTATAATAAACTAGTGCTCTTTGGAAAGAGAGTTGATTCCAGGGCCAAGACAGAAAAAGTAAAAGTGAGACTAAAACAACTTGTGCCAAAAAGAAATATAGTGCTCAGAAATGTGATTTGATTTTCTTCACAGATAAACTCTGTAAAAGTGATTATTCCCATTAATGAAACAGGTTCAAGTGCCTTTTCTAATGACTGCTGTAATCCGTGTTCTGATTTAAACTTGAGCTTTTTTCCCCCCATCCATTTACTCATCCGTTTATTCAATGAAATTTATTGAGTATTTTTTGTATGCCAGAAATGACATTATGCTTTAAAAATACAGACGGCTAGGCTGCTCTAGAGATATTCAGAGGCAAGCTGTTCATTTTGAAATTTCTTATAGTATAATACTGTGGAGATTTCATTCACTAGACAAGACGCAGGCCATACACAATATCAAGATGCCAAAGTATTTTTTGATATTTGTTGCAACATTATAGGGCTATATTGTCTTGGGTTTTTAATGCGTAGGAAGATATTTTATTAGTAAATATATTTTGTATGAGGAAAACATTGTATGTTTTATGTGGGTTGAAATAAATCAACACAAAAGCTAAAATCCAAAATCATAAAGTATATTATTATTTTTATTTTAATTGAAATCCTAAGGATATTGAAACTATTCTGTTTTTTAAACATATAGCTTAGAAATGTCTTAAGGACTTATGCCCTTTGATAGATAATTTTAAAATCCGTTGTTTAACAGCCAAAGGCCTTGGTGATAACACTTTCATTAGAAGTTAAAAGGTGATACTGATATCTGTTTAGAAATAGGAGATAAACTGGCAACCTTTAGGAATTATCATATATTCTCTATCAACTCTGAAAATACATGAATTTAACACTTTAAAATATTATGGTGTTGATGCTAGCCTGCATTTAAAACAAATCTAGCCTCAATCATAAACAACTCCAATGAGGTATTATGGAATACATAATATACTAATATTATATATTTGTTTAATATAAATCACAAACATTTTATCTTGCTTGTACTCTTTAAAGTCAATTATGCCAATTAAACATTGAAGAATTGATTCTTATAAATCTAAGTATATTAACATTTTAATTTACAGTTAATGCGTTCTCTGTTTTATACCACCCTACTCAGAGGACGGACAAAGACTTACCGATTTATATTATAAGATCCAAACCCCAGACTATGGTTGACTGTACCAAGAACGAACACTGACCCAAATTAGGCCAATCAAATCCTTTTTGCCAGATTTTTGCATTGGAAACATAATTCATTTTAATCATTTTGGTTTACTTGAATTGAGGTCTTGGTTTACTTGAACTGAGGACTTGAGAAATCTGGAATGCTGAAGTGGATGTGTTTTCTACAGGAATACTAAAGAGGTAAATTCAGTTCAGAGAAAGAGAGAATTGAAGTAGATTCATACAGAAAAGCAGAGGTGTCAGCCCACGCAAGTTACAATCACAGGAATTCAGGCAAAGAAGGTCTCCTACATCCCTAAAATTCTCCTGTTCCAGATGCCAGCCCATATGAACCTTAAGTGGCATTTTCTGGTCTTCAGTTTTGTAAGACAGTTCCAAAGTTCTATATTCAATTTCATTTTCTGCTTCAACTCTTTGAAAATGATTTGCTTTTATACAGAACAAAGTATTTTCTCCATTCAGAGACTAGTAAAAAATATAAAATTGCTATCTAATAAGACATTCTAAAAATAAGGAATAGATATAAACATAAATGATATAAAATATCTGTAGATATTTTTGAGTGGAATTATATTAATTATTCAATGCCAAATAATATACTATTACTTCATTTCAAAATCCTTATCCAAATAGTTTCAATCACATCAACTTTTTACAGATAAGAGCATTTACTAAATAAAGTTATCCAGATAAAATATTAATGCAGTGATACATTTATAATGAAAATCTGTATTCAAATAAATAAGACTATGAAATAAATTCCAGAGGTACAAACAAATTTGGCCACTATCATAGAAATGTATTTTCATTTCTCTGCATAATTAATACAATCCAATTATAAAACAAAATGATTTAGGTAACTTGCAAGATATTAAAGTAAAATGGAATATATATTTAGAAGGAACCAATACATATTAATACTCATGGAAAACATTGCGTTGATTAAATGAAGTGTATGATTTGTACATTTCCTTTAAATGTTTTGAATAAAGCTTCCTTTCTTTTTTTTAATAAAATCATTGCTTGAATAATTTCTTCATATTTTGGCTGCTTCTCCAACCCTCCATTTTAATTAGTGTTCTATAACCATTTATACTATATCCTAATTAAGAAATCCATTAAGTCTCTATAATAGTTGCTTTGGAGATAACATTAAATTTACTGGAGTTTTAAATAATACATTCATGAGATGGGATTTTAATGTGCAATTTAAGAAGTTATTAATGTTCGAAAGACAGAGTCATTGCTTCTGTGTTCAATCAATACGCAGTACATAGCTTTTTCCCTTAATACTTAGTTATCAGCTTTATCATTTCTAATATTTCATGAATACTCTTAAGTGTTTTTATGGAGGGAGACAATTTAGTGAAAAGTCTCTGCTTTAGAAATTTTTATACCCATTTATCTCAATAAAAATGTTTCGGACATAGATTAGTCCTACCACCTTAAGTGTGACTATGACTTTTATTTTTTCACGAATTCCGTAGACCCAAAATGCAAAATCTGTGGAACAAATAATTTTCTTTTATAAGGAAGATTCCCCCCCACTTTTTTTTTTAAAGTTGCAGGAACTGCGAATAGTAAACTAGCCTGACAGTCTAGGAATCTAAATATAATTCCTGAGACTCCTACAAGTTGCCTATGCTATATTATCCATCCTTGCCACAAACTATTTTGGCATCTTCTGCTTTATCTATAAAATAAAGAGCCCCTAGTAGATGGAGCTAGCTTTCATCCATAAAGCATCTATTTTAAATCATCCAGGTGAGTACATTATTTTAAAAGCCGTAACAAAATGAATATATAATCAACTCAATTATATTTTGAACAAATTTGTTTTGTAAGCCATTACTAGACACTTATTTCTTAACTTTATAATTGAAAACAATATGTTTTCATTAAATTCATTATATCCTAGGTTTGTATGCAAATGAGAAGTTAGGAAGGATATTTTAATATCAATATAATAAAATAAGTGAACGTTAAAATTCAGTTGATTGGTTTTATAATTTTGTAACTTAAAAGATAATTGAAACTAGGTTGAAGGAATAGGAAATAAAATATATATATATATGTTTTCATAGGGCAAGGTACTCAGAAGATAATTTTTATTCAAGAACAGGAATTTTAAAAGCTTTAAGCCTGCAACACACAGCAAAACATCCTTGCAACTCAGGTAGAGTAAGCAAGTGAGTTAGGACGGGAAGGAGATCAGTTCTGCCAACCATGGGTCTATATGGAAAGCCTGGAAGTCACTGTGATTGTGGTGGGACACTACAGCAAGGTTTCTGCAGGAAACATTATAAAGAACACAATAATAACTATTACTGTTAACACCATTTTTATTTTAACTTTTTATTTACAATATTTGATCCACTTAAAAGTGATCAAGGTGATTCTGAAAGTTTGCATATATTCTTCACCAGGTTTCCCCTAATAACATTTTCCATCACCATGTTACCTTGAATGAAAACTAAGAAACACCGCTCCATTACTGTTAAATGATTTTTCAGAATTCATCAGTTTTTCTACTTACCTCCTTTTCTATTTAACTTTTCAATTCAAGATACCATGTCACCATGTCTCCAAGTCTTTTCTAATCTATGACAGTTTATTTTTCTTCCCTGCTGTTCATGACTGTTCAGATGTCTTGTAAAATGTTCCTGAGTTGGGTTTGTCTGATGTTTTCTTGTGTGATATAGTTTGGATATGTGCCCCCACCCAAATCTCATGTTGAATTGTAATCCCTAATGTTGTAGGTGAGGCCTAGTGAGAGGTGATTTGATCATGGGGATGGTTTCTCATGAATGGTTTACCACTATCCCCTTGGTGCTGTACTTGTGATAGTGAATTTTCATGAGATCTGGCCTTGTAAAGGTGTGTAGTAAGATGACTGCTCCTCCTTTGCCTTCCACCATGATTGGAAGCTTTCTCAGGTCTCCCCCAAAGCAGAAGCTGCTATGTTTCCTGTACAGTCAGCAGAACCATAAGCCAATTACATCTCCTTGCTTTATAAATTACACGGTCGGACTAATGTATCAGGATTACACTGGAATTATTTATTCTGGGAAAGAATATCAAAGAAATATCCCTCGCCACTTTCCATATACTAGTTGTTGGAAGCAAGCCACTAAGTCCAGCCCATGCTAAAAAGAAATAAAATTCAGCTCCACCTCGTAGAGGAGAGTATAAAAACATTTCTGAATATTTTGAAGCCACACAGTATTTAATAATTATTTGTGAAGTGATAGTTTGAGTGGCATTCACCTGTGGATGTTGCCTGTAGCAATTATTACTGTACTCTTCTAATCATGATTTTCTATTTCCACATTTCTGCGAAATTTATCATTTAGAATTCTGCTCTAAGGAAGATTCATCTCTTCTCTATTGATTTATCTAATAAATCATTTATTATTTAATAAGTAATCTATTTATATCCATATAGACTCAATATGTACTTTATTATTTCAGTTCTAGTTTGAAATTATTGTTATTTACATCGTTGCTTAAACTGTTCCAGATTTAGCTATTGGAAGCTTTCAAGTTGGCTCCTGTGTCCCTTTGACATGGCCTCATCTTTTTTTTAAATTTTTTCTTATTTTCTATCACTGCAACATGCCACAAATTTCTCTTATATTTTTCAAGCCACATCCCTATAATCCATTTTTCCATGGAATCCCACATTCCTTTAATTAGAAAATTGCATTTAGAAATTAAGATAAGTGTGTGCTAGGTTTTCTCACTGCTACTGGACTGTCACTCTTTCTAGGTCATCTCTGTAGACTGAGCTAGGATATATGAATGTGTGTGTGTGTGCATGTGTGTGTGTGTTTGTATTATCCCATGTATGCACACATATCTATACTTATTTATAATTATTTATTATTTCTATATCAGAATAAACATCAATTCAAAATAATATTTCTGTCCCTGATCCAGCAACACAAGATATACTCTAGCTTTTTTTAATATGTGTAACTTTCTCTGCCAGTGCAAAACTTAGCTCCCATTGTGTTAGCTCCAGTTTATTTATTTGTTCAACTCCAGTGTTTATATAGCTTCAGAATTAACTCCTGACCATGTAAGAAACAAATTAACTGCTGAAAGTTGGTCCTTATGTACCATTCTTTTGTTTTTAGCCTCCCAGTATTCAGTCAAAATTCTCCTTTCCAAGGTTACTTAAATTAGCTCCTCTTTCCCAACCCCTTTTGGTGAGATTATGCTGTGCATTAGTAATACAGTTAGATTTATTTTTCACAGCCTGCATTTCCTCCTGGGATTCTCCAATATCCTGGTTCATTTTGTAAAATCTGCATATAGTAAAGTTCACTCTTTGTTATGTACAGTTCTGTGGGTTTTAACAAACGCATAGAGATCATTACTATTTTCTATACCATTGGAGCTCTCCTCTAGAGAATACTTTGGAGCAAGAGAGAGGAGGTGGGTAAAATTCGTAGCAATGAGAAGAGCTATAAACTTACTATTGTAGTCGGTGGGAGAAATTATGGTAATTTTGACAATAAGATGGATTATTTCTGGATTTCCAATATGACTCACATTATATTCTCTTCTAGATAATTACAGTGTCCTTATTTTAATGAGGCATATTTACTTTTTAAACCAGTTAAAACAAATATTTAATTTTTGAGTTTGAATATACATAATCTTAAGTAAAATATGCTAGGAATGGCCTCATGTTACCCTTAACTTATGATACCTGGGAAGATTTGAGATATATGTGAAAGTAGAGATGATATGCTGATCAATTGGGTAAGGGATGTAATAAAAATATAATTTAAGAATAACTCTGAGGTTTTTATCTTGAGTGAATTGTGGCACCATTTGAAGGAGTTGTTGAGTACCTTTACAAAAATGGTGAACACATTTTGTTTTCTAAACAACAGAAACAAGAAATTATATAGATTAAATGAATAATACAAAATTTAAATGTTCCTGGTTAAAGCCTTATTATTCTAAGTAGATGTAAAGAAAGGAAAAGATTGTAGTTAATTTTGTACTAATTCGTTATCTCAAATATTTCTAATATCTTCTAAATGCACAATTTAGGAGAATGAGCCTGCACACAATAAAATTCCATTAATACATTTTACATCTGTGGAGTATGCTTTCATATGTAACCACTGCAAACTCTACTCCTGTAAGTCATGGAAAACAAAAATAATTTTTTAATACTGCCCCCAGTTTTCTCCCACCTTCCCCCTGACCCCAAGCTCTGAAGATTAGAACTAGGAAAGGTGACATATAGACATTAATTGAGTTCAACACTCAAGTCATGTAAACTTGGTTAGTCATTGGGCACTCAGTTTTCAAAAAACCTGGGCAGTTTTGATGACTTCTGCCTCTCACTTAAACCCTGTGCCTCCGTTCTCAAGCGGGCACCCCAACTCCCCACTGAGCCAGGCTGAAAGGACCTCCCAGCACCTGCTCAGTGGCCTCTCTCAGGACACTCAGCACTCTCTCCAGTGTCCTCTGTCTCACTGGACAACAGAGGACAGCCTAGAAGCCTGTTGATCTTATTTAAAGTAAACTGGTATCTTAAGACACAAAAACATACTTGGGGAGCCCTATATATCTAAGCCAGTGTTCCACATCTTCCAGGGTCTGAGGAAGCTCTTCTCCCACCTCTGGTCTCTGCAGAAGGGGCTGTCGGCCCACCTGGACTTTGGGATCAGACAGATTGCTGGTGCTTTGCTGCCTTGATCAGAGAACATAAAACATACCAGTGTAGTAGTTTGAAAATACAACATGGGCCGGGCGCGGTGGCTCACGCCTGTAATCCCAGCACTTTGGGAGGCCGAGGCGGGTGGATCATGAGGTCAGGAGATCGAGACCATCCTGGCTAACACGGTGAAACCCCGTCTCTACTAAAAATACAAAAAATTAGCCGGGCGCGGTGGCGGGCGCCTGTAGTCCCAGCTACTCGGGAGGCTGAGGCAGGAGAATGGCGTGAACCCGGGAAGCGGAGCTTGCAGTGAGCCGAGATTGCGCCACTGCAGTCCGCAGTCCGGCCTGGGCGACAGAGCGAGACTCCGTCTCAAAAAAAAAAAAAAAAAAAAAAAAGAAAATACAACATGATTTTCTTAATAAGTTATTTCCTACAAAGACTAAACAAATATTATTGTGATCTTTTGTTTCTCTTCATTTTCATGAAGACTGAATCAGAGGTGCTTGACATAATAATTTCTAATTCCATAATAATAAATGTGAAGCCATCAGACATGAGTGGAATATCAGAGGTCTGTTGGTTACCTAACTAAACACAATTTCCAGGTCTTTATACACTACTGCCTATTTTTCTATTCACTTACTATCTGTAACTATTTAGCTTGCAGACCTTATAGCAAACTTCTAGATGAAAAATAAAATGTCAAAATGCAACCTGACTTCTCTTAATTATCCAGTTTCTAATAAATTTAATTTCTAATAGTATTCATTTTTTATTGTATTATGAAGATTTGCAAAATTTGTTCTTTCAATATATTTTTGAAATAGCTCTTTCAATGTAATCAGAAGAAAAATCTATACTTTAAAAATATTAAAAATATACTTTAAAAATCAATTAACAAGTCTCAGGTTTAAATTTTCTAAACTGCATGATTTCCACTTTTTAAAAATTGGCTTATTTAATGAAATGAACTCTATCAATTAGTAAAGGATAAGCTGGAAGGAAAGAGGACTTAAAGTATAAATAACTAAACATGTTTTATATTTTTTGAGCTCTAAAAAATAGTTTGATGTCAGGGTTTTAAATCAATAGCTAAAGGTAAACACTCTGTTTATGGAAAAGTCAATATATACAGACTTTGAATGAAGATCAGGTGAGAATGTAAAATAATGATAAAGACATATCTGCAGGGCAGTGTGGAGACAACTTGCCATCACTGTCATTTGTGAGAAAATGGGTTTAAACTGAACAGAACAACAAATTGTTTCAGGCAAGAAAATCAGGCCATAGTAAATGTATTAGTCCATTTTCAGATTGCTGATAAAGACATACTCGAGACTGGGCAATTTACAAAAGAAAGAGGTTTATTGGACTTAGAGTTCCACATGACTGGGGAGGCCTCACAGTCATGGTGGAAGGTAAGGAGGAGCAAGTCACATCTAACGTGGATGGCAGCAGGCAAAAAAGAGAGAGCTTGTGCAGAGAAACCCCTGTTTTTAAAACCATCATATTTCATGAGACCCATTCACTATCTTGAGAAGAGCACGGGAAAAACCCGACCACATAATTCAATCATCTCCCTCGGGGTCCCTCCCACAACACGTGGGAATTAGGGAGCTCCAAGATGAGATTTAGGTGGGGACACAGAGCCAAACCAAATCACTAAATGTGATGGGGAAACTGGGAAAAGATAAAGTAAAGAGGATTTTTATTAGTCCATTTTCATGCTGCTGATAAAGACATACCAGAGATAGCAGATGCTTGTCATTGCACCAAGACATACCCAAGAAGAAAGAGGTTTAATAGATTTAACAGTTTCATATGGCTGGGGAGGCCTCACAATCATGGCAAAGGCAAGGAGGAGAAAGTCAAGTCCTATATGGATGGCATTAGGCAAAGAGAGAGCTTGTGCAGGGCAACTCCCATTTTTAAACCATCAGATCTCATGAGACTTACTCACTATCACGAGAACAGCAGGGGAAAGACTCACCCCATGATTCAATTACCTCCCACCTGGCCCCTCCCACAACACATAGGAATTCAAAATGAGATTTGGCAATGAAAAAAAGCTCATCATCACTAGTCATTAGAGAAATGCAAATCAAAACCACAATGAGATACCATCTCATGCAAGTTAAAAAGTTAGGAAACAATAGATGCTGGAGAGGATGTGGAGAAATAAGAATGCTTTTACACTGTTAGTGGGAGTGTAAATTAGTTCAACCATTGTGGAAGACAGTGTGATGATTCCTCAAAGATCTAGAACCAGAAATACCATTTGACCCAGCAATGCCAGTACTGGGTATATACCCAAAGGATTATAAATCATCTACTATAAAGACACATGCACACGTATGTTTATGGCAGCACTGCTCACAAGAGCAAAGACTTGGAACCAACCCAAATGCCCATCAATGATAGACTGGATAAAGAAAATATGATACGTATACATCATGGAATACTATGCAGCCATAAAAAAGGAGGAGTTTATGTCCTTTGCAGGGACATGGGTGAAGCAGGAAACCATCATTCTCAGCAAACTAACACAGGAACAGAAAACCAAACACTGCATATTCTCACTCATAAGTGGCAGCTGAACAATTAGAACACATGGACACAGGAAGTGGAACATCACACACCAAGGCCTGTCACGGGGTGGGGAGATAGAGGAGGAGTAGCATTAGGAGAAATACCTAATGTAGATGACAGGTTGATGGGTGCAGCAAACCACCATGGCACATGTATACCTATGTAACAAACCTGCACGTTCTGCACGTGTATCCCAGAACTTAAAGTATAATAAAAATAAATTATAAATAAAATAACAACAGCAACAAGAAAAAACAAAATGAGATTTGGGTGGGGATACAGCCAAATCATATCAGGATTACTTTAGGTGTCTTTCATATTCTATGCTATAAACAGCAACGTTCTAAATGTCTTGTATATTTTTGCAAGGAGAAAACAATTTTTCCTCTTAATTAAGTGAAAAACATAGAGATATATTCCTGACAAAGAAGTAGTCTCTTTTGCAAGCAATCCAATGAATATGCAGCATGAGTTATGGAAAAGCTAATGGTAAAATAAAACTCTAACATACTGCTTTTAAGATTATTTATATTAAAACAAAAAAATTAAACCTCTGTTTCATATTAATTTTTAAAAATACTTCTCATAAAATTTAGGACATTGTAATTATCTGAAAGTGAATGTAATATTAATCATATTAAAATAAAAAAATAGAATAGTTCTTAAATTGTTAGATTATGAGAAAATGCCTATAAGAATAATTCATGAGGAAAGTAATATTATCTTTTTTTGTTATATGGTTTCATTAAGCATATTTTTCATAAGAATATTTTTTCAGAAATAAGTAATCCATGATACATTTTGTCATAGCAGTGCAATTTATATATCTCTAAGGCATTTCTAATTAACTACAATTTTCTTGCTATTTTCTATATAATTTGAAAACAAAATGACTTCAAAGTATTTTTTTAATTTTGAAATTTACATGATTCTTATTATTTACAATTTTACAGATACAACATTTAGTCTTAAGAATTTGAGGTACACTTTCCATCTATGTCATGTAAGCAATCTTACAATTTTGCATTTGACTAATTTGCATTTATTGCCCGTAATGTTCTATGGCTGCATCAGCATTCTTCACATTTATTGACTTATTAAATTGGCAACAAAAAATCCTGTGATATCTGTGATATAGACATAATATTTTAAAATGGACGTATCTAAAATCTATCTCAATTAAGTATTTATATCCAAAGATAAGGCATCCATTGAATAAATTCTCAAACTAAACAGGGATGCAAAACTTATATCCTAAATAGTGCATTTTCAGCTGAATCACTACTGCCTCCAAATAAAAATCAGTTAGTAGATTTGAAAGGATTTAGAGCGAAACAGAAAGCATGAGGGTTTTTAAGCCCAGGATGGCCAGGGTCTGAGGAGCTCTCTGAGGGCACAAGGCTGTCAGTATGTGAGGAGTCCCCATCAAGAACTGATCTGCCCTATTATTATTCTTGGAATTACAGATACATTAAAAATTATGAGAAGGGAAATATCGAAACAACAAAGGCTTCCTAAAGCTAATTAGAATTTGAAATTAAGGAAGTGCAATTAAGCATTAAGGGAATTCCCACCCCTCGGACTGCAACTTCCTAGCTCTGCTAGCTTTTCTGTTAGGAGTGAAGCTAGTTTTCAGTTGAAGCCAATTTGGTATTTCAAGACTGAAACCTTTCTGCAACACACAGTTTTCTAAGTATTATGCTAGGATGAGAAAAAAGTGTTTGTTTTCAGATAGCTTAAAGAATTGTAAGGAAGAGAAATATAAAAATAAGAAAGCATTGGGATGATGGGAATAGAGTAGAATTCAAAATGCAATTGAGAGTTCAGAGAGGAAAGCCCAATTCACCTGGGAAGTTACAAGGTTGTACAAAGCAGGTTAAACATCTGCTAAATGTTGAATCATGAGGAGAAAGCTTGCGGATGGATACAATGAAGGAAAATGGCTACAATAAAAGGTATGTTTTCAAGGTAAACAAAAAAATAAGTCAGCATCAGGTATTTTGAGAGACAATAAGAGGCCAATTATTATAAGATGGTAAATACTTTCCTAGGAGTTTATTACTCAATGGCAACTTATTGAAAAGTATTCAACAGTGGAATAATGAAATCAGGTTTATATTCAACTATGGCATGTAACTAATTTTCCCTTTGTAACTAATATGTATTGACTGACAAATAAATATATTCAAAGCATTATGAAACTCTATATTCAAGCAAAGAAAAAAGCACAAAAAAGAATATGACAAATGCTGATATAATGATCGTAAACCTTTTGGGAACTTTTGTGATTTAATTCATATCTAACATCTGCATAAATCTGCTACTTAGGTTTTATTAAAGCTTTTGACATTGCAAGAAATGCATTATCATTTTCGACCAGTGCTAGGTCATATTTGCGAAAGAATATATTTATTAAATCCAAATAGGAAAGGAGAAATGTGTTTATTTGCTTTTCATTTTTGTCTGATTTTGTTTCTCTGCCTCTAGAGCTCTGCCCTATATTCCAAATATTTTAAAATTGTTTCTTTTCTAATAGCTCATCTTTCTTTTTACATGAAAGAGACATATATTTTCTAGTATAAAATATACTGTAAAGTGCAAAGAAAATATTTAACATTCCTCCACTCTTATTTATCCAGCATAATTTAATCATTAGACTCCCTGTTCCACATTTTGAGTAACACAATGAGCAGGATACTCAAGATTCTTGCCAGAGTCAAATTACACTCTCATGCAGGAAACATAAAAAAAAAAAAAGACTCTAAATAAATATGGGGTATTTAAGTGCTGTGAGGGAAATGCTGTGACTCTGATACAGAATAACCAAAAGGATGGTCTTCCAGGAGGGATGATGTTTCATCTGAAACTTGCAGGATGCTAGGGGCCAGCCATGCCAGGTGGCAGTGGAAAAATGTTTGGCAGAGAGTGAATAATAAATGCAAAGGCTTTGAAATGTGAAGAATGTGGCATGTTTGTTCTAGGAACTGCCAAAGGTCATTGTGATTACAAAAGAGTGAATGAGTGTGGATGATCTAAGCAATGAAATCACTGAATTGGGTTAGATCCTGCAATTATTTATAGGTCATGGTAAAAATATATTAGTCAGGGTTCTTCAGAGAAACGGAACAAAAAGGATATCTACAGATATATATAAGAGGAGGCTTATTATAGTAACTGGCACACACGATTAAGAGGCCGAGAGTTCCACAATCATAATCTGCCTTCTGCCAGCTGGAGAACCAGAAAAGCCAGTGGTGTAATTCACTGGAACCCAAAGGCCTGAGAGAAGAGGCATGTTTCAGCTCAGGCAGAGGGTGGATTTGCTTCTCCTTCACTTTTTGTCCTATTTGGGCCTCAGTGGATTGGATAGTGCACTCACATTGGTGGAAATAATCCTCTTTGCTCTTTCCACCTATTCAAACGCTAATCTCTTCCAGAAATACCCTCACAGACACACACAGAAATAATGTATTACCATCCATATGGTTATCCCTTGGCCCAGTCAAGCTGACACCTAAAGGTAACCATTATGAAAAGGTTTTAATTTCTTTCTAAGTGTAATGAAAAACCGTTAATTTAAGCTGAAAAATCGCATAATTTCATTTTTAAATAAGATTTCTCTATCTGCTCAGTGGAGAGGGTGGAGAAGAAAGCGGAGAAGCTAGCCCAATGTATTCACCTAAACAAGAATGATTGTGACTTTTCTAAAATGGTTAAAACTGAAAGGTAGCGATTCCCCCAGAGCTATAATTTGGAGGTGACATGAACAAGATTTAAAGATTGATAGTGTGTATGAATTTAAGAGTGAATTCTTGGTCTGAATATATTGATTTTGTAGAGAGAATCTTCTTTTTCCTAAATTATATAAGCAATTTTATAAAATCTATGGAGTCTATTATTTTTTTCCTGGAAAGGACAACAACAACATGAGGAAAAGATATCACATCCACTTTAGTGAAATTATTACCACATAGCTTATCAAATATTTTATTATATAAAATATGTCATTGCCTTGGCATTTTAATAATACTTTCAAATCTAATGGTAATACTTTCAAATAAGATTAAATTCACAAGTATACAATTTTTAGACTAATACCAGTATTGGGATTCAATGATTTTTGGCCAAGGTGAGAAAAGATTTCCTTAAACCTCATACTGCTAATCAGGAAAAATAAATAAATAAAATAAGTTATTTAAGCATTTATTTAAATAACTAGAAAAAGTAGTAATGGTTTATTTTAATTATTTTAAATAATTAAATTATTTAAGTAAATTAAATGATTAAATTATTTAACTAAATTAAGTGATTGAATTATTTAATTTTAATAACTTTGTTAAAAAATTTTCAGGTTATTATCACATTTTAATCCCTTAAGGGAATTTCAGTCCACCTTAAATACGTCTCCATTTAAGATGTGTTTTGAAGTTACAGTTAATGTAAAATACTAAAATGCCTCCAGCATTCTTCTGTTATATTGCTTGGAATCCTTTCAATGGTCATGTCTTGTTTTCATTAATTTGTTAACAGATGATGGGGGGTATTTGGTATACTCACATCAAATCCTGTATTAATTAGACCAGGTGAGGTGGCTAACACCATAATCCCAGTACTTTGGGAAGCCAAGGCAGGTGGATCACCTGAAATCAGGAGTTCAAGACCAGCCTTGTCAACATGGTGAAACCCCATCTCTACTTAAAATACAAAAAAAAATTATCTGGGCGTGGTGGTGCACATCTGTAATCCCAGCTACTTGGGAGGCTGAATCAAGAGAATTGCTTGAACTCAGGAGGCAGAGGTTGCAGTGAGCTGAGATCACACCACTGCACTCCAACCTAGGTGACAGAGTCTCACTCTGTCACAAAAAAAAAAAAAAAAAAAAAAAAAAAAAAAAAAAAGATCCTGCATTAATTAGAGTTCTAAATAGTTTCCCATCAGAAATGAGTGCATTTTTTTGCATTCTATTTTTATTTTTTACAAAATAGCCAAACAATAAAAAGAACACAAATAGAAAGCATAGGAAAAAAAGGATTCTTTATACTGAATAATATTAGCGCTCTCAAAATTCTCCAGTGGAACTGAATCTCCCGCACTTCTTCAGTGATGACACTGGAGACTCTTGAAAGATGAGCTACAACATTTGATTAAACTTTCTATTTTCACAAAAGGAAAGGTGTGATGCTATTTTACATATCAATAATTTAAAATGATCTATGTTAATCATGTTCATTTTTTTCAAATTCACCTAAAATTTTTAGCATTAATTTAATATTGTGATTACTTGGGCTCTAGAATTGTCTACTGTTTCATTGCAGTTGCAATCCTAAGAAATATTTTTTTAAGAGAAGTGTCAGTTCTTAATTCTATAGTGGAACTAATGAATGTAGTCGAAAAGCCATGTTCTGTGGCTCATAACTTATGCAATTATATCTCTTAAGGAATACGTCACATTTGAAATATAATATGGTAGACTGAATAACATATTCTTCACTCCCACAATATCACAATCCTAATATCCAGAATCTGTAAATATGTCATCTTATAAGGCAAAGGGACTTTGCAGATGTAATTAAGTTAAGGATCTTGGGAAAGGCAGATGAGTCAGATTATCCAAGTGGCTCCATGTAATCACAGTGGCTTTATAAGGAGATAGCAGAGAAAGAGGCAGAGAAAGAAAACAATGAATGATGGAAGGAAAGAGAGGGGGAAAAAAAGGCCGTCTGATGGCCAGAAGGAAGGAATGAGGACAGCCTTCAAAAATGGGCAAAACAAGGAAATGGATTGTCTCCTAGAGTTGTAACTGCCCAATGGATTCTTCTTGCCCACTGCACAGATAGAGCCAAGTTACTAACAGTGTTATCACAATAGAGAAAGAGCTTAATAAAAGCAGAGCCAGCTAGACAGAAAAGCAGAGTTTTATAACTCAAATCAGTCTCCCCCAAAATTTGGAGACTAGGGATTTTTAAGGATAATTTGGTGGGCAGGGGGCTACTGAGTGTGGAAGGCTGATTGGCCAGGTGGGGGATGAAATCATAGGAGTCAAAGTAGGTTTTTCTTTCTGTGGTCTTATTTCCTGAGTGGGATTGTAGAATGAGCGGAGCCACTTTACTTATCTGGGTGGTGCCAGCTGATCCACCAGAATGTAGGGTATTAAAAAAATCTCAAACACCTATCTTAGATTTTACAATAGTAATATTATCCGTAGGAGTGATTGGAAAGGTTAGAAATCTTGTGGCCTCTGGATGCATGACTCCTGAGCCATAGTTTCTAATCTTGTGGCCAATTTGTTAGTTTTACAAAATCAGTCTGGTCCCCAGGAGGAGGTTTGTTTTGGGAAGGGGCTATTATCATTTTCATTTCATAGTTAAACTATAAACTAAATTCCTCCTGTTGTTACCTGGGCCTGTGCAAAGTAATGAACAAAGGCAGCTTGGAGGTTAAAAGCAAGATGGGGTCGGTTACATCAAGTTTCTTTCACTGTCATAATTTTCCTATGTGAACCAAAAGTAAAATTCTAAGTAAGCCCCACAACTGACCAAATGAACCTTCTTCTTAGCCAAGGGGATTCAAAGGAACCTGAAAAACTAGTTCAGGCCATGACAGGGAAGGGGTGGGGGGTTGGACATGCCTCATTACACTCTCCTCCCGTTGGAGTTTAGGCACAAACTGACCAGCATTAACATTAAAACAAAGATCTTAAGACTTATAAAACAGACTCTTTGTAGCAATATGATACCAAATTCCAACCTAACTCTGGTTTAACATCACATGACGGATAACAGGCCCTGAAAGAAATAAAAGTATTTTACCCCAAAATATATTTATTTGAAATATTTTGAAATGGCTCTGCAAAGCTATCTCTTGTGGGAGAAATTTACATTGTGTATAGAAATCCCTTACTCTTTCTAGGACTTTTTCTGATCCTCAAGAGATTAGATGAGGACATAGCACCTTTTAAAGGTCTGAAACATTTGTGATCTGTTGCCTGTAAAGGCCACCTGTGAGGCTTCATCTACATAACAAGAACCTTGGTCTCCACAACCACCTATCTTAACACAGATACTACTTTCTATTGATTCCAGATCTCTAGATAATAATGTAACTCTTTCATCCAATTTCCAATCAGAAAATCTTTGAATCTACTTATGACCTGGAAGCCCTCGCTTCAAAAAGTTCTGTCTTTCCATACTGAACTAATGTACCCCACATGCATTGATGGATGTCTTATGTCTCCCTAAAATGTATAAAATCGAGCTGTAACCCAACCACCTTGGACACATGTTTCTCAAGACCTCCTAGGGCTGTGTCATGGGTCATAATCTTTAACTTAGGCAAATTAAACTTCTAAATAGATTGAGACCTGTCTCAGATACTTCTTAATTTCCATCTATGTCAGATTTTTCTCACTGTCATAATTTTTGCCAGTTTCAGAGTCTCTAGAATGAACTGCCTCTGCTAATAACTAGAATTTTTCTCAGTCAAACTGATTTTTGACTTCTAACTGCCAGAATGGTAAAATAATAAATTCATGATTTTTAAAGCCACTAAGCTTGTGTTAATTTGCATAGCAGCAAAAATAAGCTAATACAGATTTGACATCAGAAGTAGGGTTTTGTTGTAACAAATATCTAAAATATACAGGTGGCTTTAGAATTGGGTGATGAGTAAAAGACTTTAAGAATTTCAAGAAGCATCATAGCAAAAGCCTGGTATGGTTTTCTCAGACTACTGGTGAAAATATGAATATCAAATACCTCCAGTGAGGGCTCAAAAGTAAGTGACGAATATGGGAATAAAAACTTATATATCATTTTAGAAAGAAACATCATTATCAAAAACAGTCTGCTGGTAGAGATGTGGATATTAAGGGTGCTGCTAGTGAGTTCCCAGGGGGCAGTGAGGAGCATGGTAGAGAAACCTGTTTTTCATATAGAGTACTTACATTATCATAAATAGACTCCTAGAAGTATGTTGTTAAAGACGCTGTTGATGTGGACTGAGAAGGAAATGAGGAACATGTTCTGGGAAATGTGAGGAAAGTGGATTGTTGTTATACCATGTCAGAAAGCCCAGCTGATATTTGTCCTATAGTTGTTTGGAAAGCATAACTTGTGAGAGATGGACTTATATATTTAGCTGAGGAGATTTCCCAGCACAGTGCTGAAGGTGAGACCTGATTTTATCTTACTGTTTATAGTTAAATGCAAGTATAGAGAGAGAAGTTGGGAGAAGAACTGTTAAAAAAAAAAAAAAAAAAAAAAAGGTATCCTGAACCTGCTTTTAGAGACAGCCTATCCAGATTGCAAAAGAACTAAAATTAGGAGACTCACTGTCAGGGAAGAGTGTAGAAAGCCAAGAGTTTGCCTGAACAAACTTTCTCTAGGATCTCAGAAGAAACAAAAGGTCACATTTTGCAGTCACATGGGAGACTCTTGGAAGAGATTACGTGTGTGGTTTATGGATCCATTCAGGCATCTCAGGAGAAAAAATATATATATAGACATGGGCTATTTAGGAAAGACCTGTGCAGAAGCCCCTTTTCTAACAGAATGAACCCCCAGGCATACATGAGAGATTCACAAGATACTTGAAAATGTAATACCAGTCACCAGTCAAGATGCTGCCAGCTTGGACCAAAAGGGACAGAGAAAGGGCTAATGATAGAAGGCTGTCAGACTCCCAAAATTCTACTGGCAGAAAAATAGACCATGAAAATTACACAGCTGCCAACATGTGCTACCTTTCATGTAAAATAAATAATGAATCATAGCCTGGAGCCTAGGGCTCAGAATGCAGAGAAGAGAACCCAGAAGGGTGGAGCCAAAGGCCACAGGTGACTGTTCCCTGGCCTTAAAGGCTAACAGAACATGTCCAGTTGAATTTTGAATTTGCTTGAAAATGGTCACTTATTTTTTCTTTCATTTTCTTCTTTCTGAAAAAAAAATCTATAGCAGTATTCCATGCCTATCACAGCATGACATTGAAGGTGCATATATCTTGTTTTCTAGTTTGTTAAGTGTACACGTGGCAAGGAATTTTGACTAGTATGGATCACACACAGATTCTCATCCATGCCAATCTAGATAATGAGATTTGGGGACTTTTTAGCTGATGGAATTTATATGAGTTTCTGAAATTGAGTTGATGCTGTAATGAGTTGAGATTTGGGGGTCTTTGGAGAGAAGATATTTTGCATATGAGATAGATGTTAGTATTTCAGAAACAAAGAATACCCATGGTTAAATAAAAAATGCCCCTAAAGGTACACACAGCTGATCTCTGTAAGCAGTGAACATGTTACTTTTACATGGCAAAAGGGACTTGCAGGTATGATTAAGTTAAGGGTCTTAATATGGAGAGATTATCCTATGTCATATGGCCCAACGTTACAAAAGCAATGATGAATTAATACATGTACCAATTTTTTCTCACAAAGTCAATCATGATCAACAAGAAAAATTATTGAGTGTTTGCCAAACATGTCGATTACCAGAAACTTTCTCAATATTTTTAACTTTCTTATTAAATTGTTAACATTATATTATTTAAATTGCAATTGGAGATGGATATCATCATCCTCACATATAAAAAGCAAGACAGGAAGGAACTTCTAATTTCTATAGGTCTAGTCTAGAGATCTAGGGAGAGTCTAGGGAGGTTGTTATATTTATATAAATAACTGAGATCTTACAGTTATTAAAAGGAGAACAAGAATAATTAAGGCTGAAGACCGGTTTTAGAAAATATAAATATTAATTTTAAAATGGAAGATATAAATGAATTAACCCAAGTGACTGAGTTATTGAAGCAGCTAGTAGAAGGGAAAAAATAGTGTTTTTAAAGATATCAAGGAAGGAGAAAAATTTGAAAAAGGGGCCGTGAAAACTAACAAAGATACAGCTTACAACTGTTTAAAACTTGACAAATAAAAATTGCTAGTCAAAGGTTGGACAAATTGTCTCCAACCCTTAATAGTGAGGGCTTGTAGTCAGATCAAATAGGACGGGCAGGGAGACAAGGGGGGATAAGAGGATGCCAAAAAAGACAGTGCTGGAGGGAGGGAGGGAGGGAGGGAGGGAAGGAAGGAAGGAAGGAAGGAAGGAAGGAAGGAAGGAAGGAAGGAAAAGAGGGAGGGAGGGAGGGAAGGAAGGAAGGAAGGAAGGAAGGAAGGAAGGAAGGAAGGAAAAGAGGGAGGGAGGGAGGGAGGGAAGGAAGGAAGGAAGGAAAAGAGGGAGGGAGGGAGGAAGAGAGGGAAGGAGGGAAGGAGGGAGGGAAGGAAAGGAAGGGAAAAAAAAGTTACTAATCAAAATTTTCAACAGAAATTTATAAACTTGCCATCAAACACCAAACAATGATGGAAAAGGATTTAGGTTAGTTTGCATGTGTAAATTAAGGAAAAGCCTCAGATATTATCTCCTCCATCTACTAAGTTATATATGTTCAAAGCAGTATCTTTGTATAATAAAATCCAGAAAAAAAAGACTTAATCTTAAAAACAAAGCGCAAAGTAAAACATAAAAAGCGTATTGGCCTCCTTTGCCTGAATTGCTCTTTTGTATTGCTTATTTTCTGACTCACATAGGATTGATTGTTGATCCCTTTCTAGGGGAGGAAAAGAAAGAGGAATAGTGTAACATTATAATTATGTTATATTTCACAGCTTTTGCTTAAAATATCTTGAGTTTTACAAAGTTTTATTAATTTCACAAAATGTATTAAGCAGCTACTAAGAATAAAGAACAGGTAAGATAAAATACAATGGTGACCCTTCAGAAAGCTCTCTGTCCAGTTAAAATAGATATTAATTGTGTAGGTTCATCACATAAATATAAAGTACCATTTTGATAAATAGTTTGCAGTGAAGTAAACATCTAAGTTACTATGAGACCATTTGATAAATAGTTCCTTTTCTCTTTTTCTCATTAGCATAGCTGCAAGTCAGCAGGTAGGGAAAGCAAAGCACTTTCAAATGCATCTAATTTTCGTATATGGTTTTTTGTTGTTCTAGAAGAGTATGGTGTTACTTTCATTAAAACATATTTACAATATTTTGTCAGGAATAAATCTTTGATTTTCATTTCCCTTCTGGCTTACTCATAGTATATATGTGATATTTCATCATATAAATATTCTATTTTCTCCTGAATTCTGGAAGAAAATATTCTATTTTCTCCTGAATTCTGGAAGAAAATATTCTATTTTCTCCTGAATTCTAGAAGAAAGTATTCTATTTTCTCCTGAATTTCTAGAAGGAAACACATATTTACTTTTATAATAAAATATAATGGGAAATAAACTCAACATACAGACAATATAGACATCCTTTAACCACTTAAAACTTAGCTTAGAAAGTTAGCTTAGAAAGCGCTCTCATAAAAATCTCATATACCCTTTATTGTTATTTGAAAAAAGGTTTTTGTTTTGTTTTGTTGCTTTTTTTGGAGACCAGGCTGGAGTGCAGTGGTGGGATTGTGGCTCACTGCAACCTCTGCCTCCTGGGTTCAAGCCATTCTCCTGCCTCAGCCTCCAAAGTAACTGGGATTATAGGTACCCAATACCGTGTCTGGCTAGGTTTTTTTTTTTTTTTTTTGGTAGACACGGCTTTTCACCATGTTGACCAGGCTGGTTTCAAACTCCTGACCTCAAGTGATCTGCCTTCCTTGGCCTCCCAAAGTGCTAGGATTACAGGAATGAGCCACCATGCCTGGTCAAAATAAGGGTTTTTTTTTTTTTTGTTTTGTTTTGTTTTTTTTACTGTTATAAAACCATAATAGCTATGATAGTTAAAAGTGATTACCACTTGCCAAACACTGTTCTTTACTTTATTAATTAATAAAGTAATAAGGCAGAGTTCTTTTCTTAAAAAAATTATACTAGACTTCAAACCCAGATATTCTGAAATACACTCACTATTTCTTGTTTGAGAATCACTACTCTTAAGCATTAAAATAATCCCTTAAAATCTGAAATTAAGCATATCTGATAATCTTATTTTATTATTGAATGTTCTTAAAGAAGCTGCATTGAATAATGACTCTTTCTTATTCAAGAGGGCAAGACTTTATAAATGATGACTTTTTAAATGAAATAATAATCTAAAGCAGTCTCTCTTTAAGCAAATGTAGCTATCTTTAGAAATTCTTTTGGCTACCTCTTTTACAAAGTAATAAAATGAAAATAATCCTGTTTATACTAAAAAATGAATAATTATTTTCTTCTTACTGATACATGTGAATCACTGTAGCATCAATTTCTAAGGTAAACACAGATAAAAAAACTAAAAATTATAGCCATTAGGTTATAGATAAATCGAAAATGTTTTATTCACATTCAATCATTTAACAAATATGAAATACATGTAATATGCCAACCATGATGTTAGTGGAGATGATGGATTAGGCAAGTTTCCTTTCTTAAAGAGCTCATGATGTAAAAGAATGGAGATTAGGAGAAAACACATTGCTATTTCAAGTGCTACTATGGTATCTGGTATCTTTTGGAGGTATTGACTAATAGCAGAAGGAACCACTATCATCCAGGTAAAATAAAGGTAATTGAGATTTGAGGCTAATTTAAAAATATGATAGAAAGTGTCCCAAGTGTTCCACATCATGTTCAATATAAATTCCTCATCATGAACTCTACTAGTTTTAGTTTATCCTAAAAAATAAATTTATTGAAGCCATGGACTTTAAAATTCTAGCAGATCTTTAGTTGTGGCATTCAATAAAATTAAATAAGCTTTAAAAACTAAAGTTCTCCAGTTTCGTCTATGTTGTTGCATATGACATAATTTCCTTCTCTTTTAAGGCTGAATACAATTCATACCTTGGCTATTGTGAATAATGCTGCAATAAACATGGGACTGTAGATATCTCTTTGACAAGCTGATTTCAAATCCTTTTGGATATATAGTCAGAAGTGGGATTGCTGTTGTTTTTTTTTTTTTTTTGGTTTTTTTTTTTTTTCTTGAGACGGAGTCTAGCTCTGTCACCCAGGCTGGAGTGCAGTGGTGCAATCTAGGCTCACTGCAACCTCGGCCTCCTGGGTTCAAGCAATTCTCTTCCCTCAGCACCCCCTAGTAGCTGGGATTACAGGCACCCACCAACACACCCAGCTATTTTTTGTATTTTTAACAGAGACAGGGTTTCACCATGTTGACCAGGATGGTCTCAAACTCCTGACCTCAGAGGATCCACCCACCTCGGCCTCCCAAAGTGCTGGGATTACAGGCGTGAGCCACCATGCCCGGCCTGGTTTTTTAAAAAATGGAATTCTGTCATTTGCAGCAACATAGATGAACATGGAGGACATTAAGCTAAGTAAAGTAGGCACAGAAAGATACTGCATGGTCTCACTTGTATGTGAAATCTAAAAATGTCAAACTCATAGAAGTTGAGAATGGGATGGTTCTTAGCAAAGACTGGGGGATGGGAGGGGAAGGAAGGAACAAGGAATGGGGAGGTGTTGCTCAAAGGATACATTTCAATTAGACAGGAGGAATAGGTTTGGGGTATCTATTGCATAGCATGATGAATATAGTTAATAATAATGTAAGGCATATTTCAAATTTCTAACAGGTTAGATTTTAAATGTCCACAAAACACACAAAAAGTATGTGAAGTGATGAATATGCTAATTAGCTTCATTTAGTCGTTCCATAATGTATGCATATATCAAAACCATTGTACCTCATAAATGTATACAATTATTCTTTTAATTAAAGATAAAATAAAACAAAACTATTCTTCTCAGTGTCTTATTTTCAGAGATTCTGATTTTATAAACGAGTCTTTCAAAGTGGGAAACTGAGTGGGATTGAGCGAAATTCATGTCGTAATAGTTTAGAAGTGGTGGACACAGAGGAGCGACAATCTTAAAGCATGTTCATAAGTAAAATTTTGTCTGATAAGTGAGCTGTTTGAGCAGAAGACATGTTACCCAGATGTGCAAACTGTTTCTCAAATAAATGGGTTTGCAGAAATTTTCAGAAGCAATGAGTAAAATTATTTATTGATTTATGGTTTTATCATGTTGGGCAGAAATTTCTTGGAAATAAAAAATTAACTTATGTTGACACAACTGACCAAAGTTCTCAATCTTCACTGTTAAGCTATGTGCATTCAGATGTCCTCAGTTCCTAACCCTTGGATGTGTTATATTTTTAGTTGAGATTTTTAATTACTGCACAAATATTAGTATTATCAATGGGCTTGTGTTCTCTTAATGATTTTTCTTAGTAATATAGTATATCTGAAGAGGCGTTGTTGTCTATGGCAGTAAATACCCGAGGTCTGTTATCTCTTGCCAAGGGAATCAAGGACAAGGACACACAGGTGGTGAGCTTTAGAAAAGAAGTGTAATAGGCAAAAGAATGAGAAAAGAGAATAGCTCTCCCTCATGCAGACAGAGGGCCGCCCAAGCGGGTCTTTTGGTCCCTTGGTGAAGTGAACCGGGTTTTATAGAATGGCTTGAGGAGGCAGTGTCTGATTTACATTGGGCCCAAAAATTGGTTGGATCAAGTGTGACTTTACATAGCACATGCAAAGAAGCTTGGCCACCCAACCCTAATCTTTTATTATGCAAATGAATTTTCTCCCTGGCCAGCACCATGTTGTCAGCTCCTTACTGTACACGTGGTTGGCAAAGAAAACGGAAGATGGAGCCGCCATGTTGAACGTGCCTAGCCCTGAGGTAGCCTTTTCCTATTGGCACAGCTGGCTGGCATTCACTCGTGCAAGCTTCCAGCTTGCTTCTATGTCTGCAGCTCAATTTTATAGGCTGCTTTTTGTTAGAAAAAAAATGATTTGGGGCTGCTTTTTATTAAAATAGAAACCTTACCAAGGACTTCCTTATCCTCACTATCTGCCTAAACAATTTCTTTTTAACTCCTATATCATATTGACTACATACATTTAACTATAGTATTACATTTAAACGTTTATGATACTGTGCCCAATAGCTTGATGTGTTAATTTACAAGGAGTTTGTGATTTCCCATGTCTTCACATCGTCACTATATCTCAGAGGTTTAAAATGTTGTGTTTCTATGATTGCAATAATTTTTCTTGTTTGTTGGCCTTTTGTAGTTCCTTCCTGGGAATTTATTTTTGATAGTATGTAAATGTTTTTCCTCATCAGAGTGGTTTTCTTTTAATTATTCTTGTCACTGGCACTTTACATTTTTCCTAGTCTGTTGTTTTTTATACTTACACAGTATTCATATAAGTTTTACTTTTTTTTATTTTAGAGGTTGGGTTTCACTTTTGTCACTGGGCTTGGGTGCAGTGGCACAGTCATAGCACACAGTAACCTCGAACTCTTGAGCTCAAGTGATCTTCCCCACTCGGCCTCCCCAGGAGCTAGGACTACAGGTGTGCATGCCACCATGCTTAGTGAATTTATATATATATATATGTATAGTGTGTTTTTTTTTTTTTTGTTTTGTTTTGTTTTTTGTAGAGACAGGGTATTGCTATGTTACCCAGGCTGGTCTCAAACTCCTGGCCTCAAGCAGTCTCCCCTCCTTGGCCTCCCATAGCACTGAGATTCCAGGTTTGCCACCACGCCCAGACAAATGTTACTTTTGATATAATAAAATGTGTCCGTTTTTGGTTACTCATCTTTGATTTAAAAAACAGTTATTTTATTTTTCTTTTCTTTTCTTTTCTTTTCTTTTTTTTTTAGACAACGTGTTGCTCTGTTGCCCAGGCTACAGTGCAGTGGCTCGAGCTCGGCTCACTGCAACCTCCGCCTCCCGGGTTCAAGCGATTCTACTGCCCCAACCTCCTGAGTAGCTGGGATTACAGGCATGCACCACTGCACTCGGCCAATTTTTGTGTTATTAGTAGAGATGGGGTTTCACCATGTTGGCCAGGCTGGTCTCGAACTCCTGTCCTCAGGTGACCCACCTGCCTCGGCCTCCCAAAGAGCTGGGATTACAGGCATCAGCCACCACTCCCGGCCAAAAGAAATTATTTTCTATCTTAGTATCATTTATTTGTCCATTTTAAATTGTCTTCTTCAAGTGTTAAAATATTTACCATATTTATACTTCTTACTCCTTTACTGTTCTTTTTAAAAGTTAAAGATATGATTTCAATATTTATTTTAATAAATGTTCCTAAAGTTATGTATTTCTCTTGAAATACTGCTTACTTTCATCTTACAAATTTTGAAGTGAATTACTTTAATGTGTAGTTTAGTTTAAAATCTCAAAATTGCATTTGTAAAATAAGCCAGGCACAGGAAAACAAATTATCACATGTTCTCACTCATCTGTAAAAGCTATAAAAGTTGATCTCATGGAATTAGGGAGTAGAAAAGTAGGGAAGGGTAGGGAGGAAGGGATAGCCAGATATTTGTTACTGAATATAAAATTCCAACTATAATTCACATAAAATAGGAGAAATAAGTTCTAGTTTCTATATCATTGTAGGGTGCCTATAATTAACAACGATTTATTGTATATTTTCAAACAACTAAAACAGAGAATTTTGAATATTTTCAAAAAAGAAATGATAAGTGTTCGAGGTGATGGATATTCTAATTACCCTGATTTGATTATTACACATTGTATATTCAGGTATCAAAATATCGCACTGTAACCCATACGTTTGTGCAGTTAGTGTGCATTAATAAAAATAATACAAGTAAAAAATTGCATTTGTGACATTTTCTTTAACTTTTGATACACTAAAGAGAGAATGTGTGTATGTATTTAGTTTTCATAGCCGTCATTGTTCTATTATTTTTGTTGTTGTGATATTTTTCTGTTTCTTATCTTTATACTGTTGATAGTTTTTAACTCGGTAGCCCTGTGGTCTCACACACATACATACATACACATTCATACACACAAATCTAAATTTATTTCAGATTATATTACATGCAATATAAGTAAAATATATAGATAATATATAGGTACTATATTAGATAATATATGTTTTTAAATATATAAATTTAAATTTATTTAGTACTTTTTACTCATTCCCACTTTCTAAGAAAATAACCTCATCAAGGTCTATGTTGTCAGTAAACTATATTGTCTCCTCTTACTCTTTCTATATGGCCAGTGTTTTCATTCTAACTCTTTTTTAAGGTAGCGACATAGTTAATTATTTTTTTCCTGTCAATGAATAGCTAATCTTATTTTTCAGTATATTTTATCAGTGCCTCTGTACAATTTCACTTATTTTATCTACCTATATCTAGATATAGTTTTCTTTTTCTGACATCATTATTTTAGGACTTTCTACAAGTTTTGTGAAAGGCAATTTTTTTAGTTTGTTGTTTCTTTTGTATTCAGATAATATAACTATTTCGCCCTCATTCTTGAATGATTTTTCATCGGAGTATAGAAACTCCTCCAGCAATGTAACTGTTAGAGGATCTGAAATATTCTGTTCAATGAAGTAGCATTCTGTCTACACTCTTGATATTATGCCATACATGTAGAAACAAACTTCTCAGTCTTCATCTTTCAAAGTATTTAAATATTACTTCTGTCAACCAATCTCTGAGAGTTTTATTTGAAATTCTAATAGTCATATGTTTAAGTCACTCAATGTATATCCTTTAAAGTCATACTTTAACTCTTACTCTGCTGATTTATTGGTGTTTTATAGGTATTGTCTTAAAATTTCTTTTTCACATTGTATGTAACATAGAAATTATCCTACCTAATGCATTGCATTTTTTGTTGTTGTTGTTTCTATATCATAAATATATTTGGGTTTTTATCATTGAATAATGATAGCAATAGGAAGGAGACAAATTCCTAGGCACACAGGGAAGAGTCCCCGGTGAAACTTGACCTTCAAGCCAAGAACAGTCTGAAGCCTGAACACCAAACTACGAGCTCCAGATAGAGTCCATGGACTGGAGTGAGAACTTCCATTCCTGTTTGCAGCCCCTGATTGGTCCCAGGCCAAGCCTTCACATCAGCCCCTAATTGGTCCTGGGCCAAGCCTTCACTTCAGCCCCTAATTGGTCCTGGGCCTTCACTTCAGCCCCTGATTGATTCTTCGTACTATCATACCTCTTTCTGAATGATATTTTTTCAATCCTACCCATAAACCCATTGGCATGCATTTCCCCATTCTAATTCCATAAAAACCCTGGACTCAGCCTCTCAGCTGGCAACCCACTTTCAGGTGCCCTCTCGCTGCTGATAGCTTTCCTTCTGTCACTCAGTAAAATTCTACTCTACCTTACTCACTCTCTGGTGTCAGTGTATCTCATTCTTCTTTGTTGTGAGGCAAGAACTGGGAACTCACAAAACTGCAGGAGTGAAAGGGCTGTAACACTCCCTCCTGCTCACTGAACTACAGGAGTGAAGAAGCTGCAGCAATAGTTCACACACACACACACACACACACACACATACACACACACGTAGTCTTATGTGCCTATATTTTCTTGCATGTTTTTGAGAATAAATACTCTATTTTGTTGTACTTCTTAGTATCATTTTTCTTAATAAGCCTGGCCACTTGATTTCATGAAATAAAGTGGCCAGTCTTATCAAGTAAATTTTTTTATTTTTATTTAAAAATATTATTTTTAAATTGGCCACTTTAAGAAAGTGGCATCCATTTATCTATCTATCTATCTATCTATCTATCTATCTATCTACCAATCATCTGTCTATCTGTCTGTCTTACTCTCATATATTATTTTGTTTGTCTCTTTTCTTATCTTGGTCCCCCAAGAGCCTAATCCGTAGATGTGGTTTCTATTAATAGCTCAGGATTTCTATCCTGCAATTACAATGTCGTTTACAGAGCCTAGTAGCTAAGTCTAAATCTTCCTGGATTTCTATTTTTCTTTTATCACCTCTGTATATAAGTTTACAATTTTATACACATTGTGTGTTGCACTCTCAGCTAATGGGACTGTAATTTTACCTGAAGTATAGCAGTATTGCCACTTGTCAGATAATCTTCTCTGAAGTCCAATGCAAGTCACTATTGACTGTATTTGGTACTACTGCTTCACAGGCTGTGGCTTCATCTTCAGCTAAAAATTTTGTCTTCTATTCCACATGAAAAACAAATAGGGTCTTACTTTGCTTTGAGGACAGCAATTGGTTTATTAATATTTTAGAATATATAAAATTGCTGTAGTTTTTCAGTATGTTCTGTTATTTATGTTTTGGTTTTAGAGTCATACATGTACTCCTAAAGGTATCCTGATTAAGATGAATGCTCACAACCTCTCTTGGAGGGTAGACATCAAGAAAATAAATCCTACTTTTGTATCTAGATGTTCATGACACATAAAATGGATATAAATTATGATTTTTAAAAATGTAGATAAAATAGGAAAAATACATTGTTTGCATTTATTCTGAATATTATTGTAGCTTTTCAAACAAAAATAAAAATTTATTTATTTAATCCTTAATTTGGTGACATACGAATGTTACAGGAAAAAGATACTGAGTCTATGACCTGTGTATTAACTGTAGCCATAAATTTCAGAAATTAAGCCTCTGCAATACATATTGAGCCTAAATATATAAATAATTCTAAACTGAGGAGTCACAATATTAAATTTCCATGCTAAATCTCAGTGAGTGTATAAAAAACTAATGTACATGATATGTAGTATAGTTATGAGTAAAATCATTATTATGTGATATAGTTAAAATAAAATTTTGAATGTTTAAACTGTATTTTTGTTTTTAATTTTATTGTAATTTTTTTAATTGTAAAAAATATAAAAATTTACAAAAGGTTAGTTCTAAAAGTGCTTGATATTTTGTGAAATTGTAAGACTCCAAACTCAAGCACATCTTATTTCTATGAGGTAGTGTTTAAACAAATGTGTAAATTTTCACTGTTCTCTGGAGGTAGCAATTAAGCTTTCTCCTGATTTCCATAGGACTTTATGACACTACATTCAAACACATCTGGTAATAATAATACAAACTCAATTAATAAAATGGACAGTTACTACTTGGTTTTCTACCTGCCATTGACAAATATTTGGCACATTGTTAAACTCTTTACAGGTTTAATTTTCACTGACATTATATGCCTGAAATAAGTTTATTTTGAACTATTATATGCATATTGCCATAAAATAATGAAGAAATGCATACACACAAAAAGAAAAGCTATTTTAAATCTCCTAGCCAGAGAATAACATTATTGACACATTGCTGTTTTTCCATTTAGCATTTTTTTTTAAATGAACATGTATATACAGGTATACCACAGAGATATTGTGGGTTTAGTTCCAGACAACTATAATAAAATGACTTTCAAGAACTTTCTGAGATTTCTCAGTGCATGTAAAAGTTATGTTTACACCATACTGTAGTCTATTAAATGTGCAATAACATTATGTATAAAAAGCAATGTACATATATTAATTTAAAAATAGTTTATTGCAAAAAATGCTAACAATCATCTGAGGCTTCAGTGAGTCATAATCTTTTTGCTCTGGAAGTTCTTAACTCAATGTTGATGCTTGCTGATTGATCAGGATGATGGCTGATAAAAGTTGGGTTGGCTGTGGCACTTTTTTTTTCTTTCTTTTTTTCTTTTTTCTTTTTTTTTTTTTTTTTTGAGATGGAGTCTTTCTCTTTCACCCAGTCTGGAGTGAAGTGGCATGATCTCGGCTCATTGCAACCTCCAGCCCCCAGATTCAAGTAATTCTCCTGCCTTAGCCTCCCAGGTAGCTGGGATTACAGGCACCCGCCACCACGCCTGGCTAATTTTTGTATTTTTAGTAGAGATGGGGTTTCACCATGTTGGCCAGGCTGATTTTGGACTCCTGACCTCAGGTGATCCACCTGCCTTGGCCTCCCAAAGTGCTGGGATTACAGGCGTGAGCCACCACACTCAGCCTGGCAATTTCTTAAAATAAGACAACAGTCAAGTTGGCCACATCATTTGACTCTTCTTTTCATGAATGGTTGCTTTGTAACATGTGATGATGCTTGATAGCATTTTCCCCACAGAAGAACTTTTAAACTTGGAGTCAGTCATCTCAAAATCTGCTGCTGCCTTATAACATCTGCTGTCATTCCCTCTGTTAAAGTCTTGGACCCCTCAGTCACCCATGAAGGTTGGAATCAACTTCTTCCAAACTCCTGTTAATGTTGATATTTCAAACTCCTCCAGTTAATCACAAATGTTCTTAATGTCATCTGGAATTTTTTCCAAAATGTTTTCATTTTACTTTGCCCAGATCTAATAGGGGAATCACAATCTATGGCAGCTATAGTGTTATGAAATCTATTTCTTAAAAAATATAAACTTGAAAGTTGATACATTGGCTGCAAAATGGTTATTGTGTTAGCAGGCATGAAAACATGTATTTTCTTTTACATGTCTGTCAGAGATCTTGGGTGACCAGGTGTATTGTCACTGAGCAATAATTTTTGAAAAGAATCTTGTTTTCTGAGAAATAGGTCTCAATAGTGGGCTTAAAATATTTAGGGAACAGGTGTGCTGTCATCTAGGCTTTGCTTTTTCCATTTATACAGCACAGGCAGAGTAGATTTAGAGTAATTCTTAAGGATTCTAAAATTTTTGCAATGATGAATGAGCACTGGCTTCACCTTGAAGCCACCAGCTGCATTCGCCTCTAATAAGAGTCAGCAAGTCCTTTAAAGCTTTGAATCTAGGTATTGACTTATGCTCTCCAGCTATGAAAATCTTAGATGACATTTCCTGACTTAAGACTGTTTCTTCTACACTGAAAATCTGTTGTTATTCTCCTTCCTCAATTATCTTAGCTAGATATTCTGAATTGCTTGCCGCAGCTTCTCCATCAGCACTTGCTGTTTCACCTTGCTTTTTTTGATATTGAGAGAGCTTGTTTTCTTAAACTGCATAGCCAACCTCTGTTAGCTTCAAACTTTTCTTCTGCAGCTTTCTCACCTCCCTTGGCCTTCATAGAATTAAAGAAAATTAAGGCCTGTCTCTAGATTAGGCTTTGGTTTAAGAGAATGTAGCTTGTTTGATCTTCTATCCAAACCATTAAAACTTCCTCCATGTTAGCATAAATCTGTTTTACTTTCTTATCATTCATGTGTTTGATGGAGTAGGACTTCTAATTTTCTTCAATAACTTTTCATTTTCATTCACAATTTGATGAAATGTTTGGTGCAAGAGGCCTAGCTTTTAGCTTATTTCAGCTTTCAACACGCCTTCCTCACTAAACTTAATTATTTCTAGCTTTGCATTGGAAGTGAAAGATATGTGACTCTTTCTTTCACTTGAACACTTAGAGGCCACTGTAGGGCTGTTGATTGGCCTAATTTCAATTTGTTGTGCCTTAGAAAAAGGAAGGCCTGAGGAGAGGGCAAGAGAGGAAAGGCCAGTCAGTGGAGCAATAAGTACAGACAAAATATTTATGGATTAAGTTCACCACCTTAAGTCCAGGTGTGGTGGCTTACACCTGTAATCCCAGCATTTTGGGAGGACTAGTTGGGCAGATAACTTGAGTTCAGGAGTTCGAGGCCAGCCTGGGCAACACAGCAAAACCCTGTCTCTGCTAATACAAAAATTAGCTAGGTGTGATGGTGTATGTCTGTAGTTCCAGCTACTCAGGAGGCTGGGGTGGGAGAATCACTTGAGCCCAGGAAGTCTAGGCTACAGTGAGCCATAATTGCCACTGCACTCCTGCCTGGGTGACAGAGCAAAACCTTGTCTCAGAAAAAAAAAAAAAAAAAAATCACCATCTTTTACAGGTGTGGTTAGTGACATACCAAAAACAATCACAATAGGAACATCAAAGACTGGTCACATCTATAATAATAGAGAAGTTTGAAATACTCTGAGTATTATCAAAATGCAATGCAAAGACCCAAAGTAAACCAATGCTACTGAAAAAATGGCACAGATAGACTTGCTCAATGCAGAGTTAACACAACACTTGAATTTGTAAAAAGCACAATATCTATGTGCTTACTTACTGAGTTGATATAACACTTTATCAGGGCATTAAAGGAACAAGCTATGAAGCACAATAAAGTAAAGCACAATAAAACAAGGAATGCCTTTGTATTTAATTTAAAAATATGTTTGTCTACTTTTTACCTAAGCAATTTCTCGTGCTATAAAATATTTACCATGAGTGATGTTCTTAGCTTCATTATATACTGGTATGTAAACTTATAGCCATGTACTTGTGTGCAAGAAAGCAGTAAGTTATCTACTGTGAATTTCGGCTGTCTTTCAAAAAAATTGTCTCATTTTTTATATCCTAATTATATACTTTAAAAATTAATGTATATGTATTTTATTTCTAGTTCATGACACAGAGATTCAGTAAATATTTGTTGGAAGCTTGTTCACATTGTTCTGTATTGACACTTCTTTTTATGGAGTCAAGATATATGTACTTTCCTTTATTAGTAATTGAGTGATAAGTATATGTTATCTAAGTTTATGATATTTTTCAATATCTACTTCAATGGTTACAATAATTCCTTTTCAGAAATAGCCCTGGCTTAGATGTCTTATTTCTAAGAGAAGCCACTGTATCTAAAAACAGCCTTAGGGCTTTCATAAGTGGCAGTCCCAGTTATAGGAATCACTACGCCCAGAGGAACTCAAAGCTATGGCTACTGTCAAGTATTTTTGCTTCCTCTAGGCCAGATGCAGTTTTCTCATCAGATGTCTTTTCATCAAAAACAATGCTGCATAGTTATTGAATTGATATAACACTTTATCAAGGTATTATTAGAGGAAAAGGGCTAAGCAGTTAATCAAAGATCAAAACTTTACATAGGAGAGGAAAGGGTCCTGTTAACCGTCTGCCCACACAGAACTATTTTGCTTTTTTGAGATTTTGGTCTCTATATCTTTCTTGACAAATTTCTTTCTACCATTTATATAGATATATATGCATGTGTATATATATTTGTATGCATTAATATTTATATATGAATGACATATATATGATATAGTATATACACTGCCTAATTATTTGTTTTTATATATGTATAGTATATATATATATGTATAGTATATATATATATATATATCGGTGTCTTGAAGGTTGAAATTATTTTTTAGGAAATAATCTATTCATGTTTCTTGCATTTCTGATATACTCTTTCAGCATTGAGAAGACAAATTCAATTATGATGTTAGTAAGATCATAAAAGATATCTTTCATCTATTTTATTGTCATAAAAAATCTGGAAATTTTTCTAAATATTAGCTTTTTGTTCCTATTTATACCATGTATACTTTCTCACCTCCAGTTCTTTGTAACATAATATTTCTTTGTTTTCAAAATTCTTTCTCTGTTCATTATGGGTAACTCCTAGCCATTCTTCATGCCCACCTTAGGTTTTACTTTCTTTTCCTTTTATTTCTTTTAGAGACAGAGTCTTGCTCTGTCCCCCAGCCTGGAGTGCAGTGGTGAGATCACACCATTGCAACCTTGAAATCTTGGGCTCCAGCAATCCTCCCACTTTAGCCTCCCAAGTAGCTAGGACTATAGCTATGTGCCACCAGGGCCAGCTGATTTAAAAAAAAAAAATTTTTTTTAGAGCGTTCTCACCATGTTGTCCATGCTTGTCTCTTGGTCTCAAGCAGTCACAAAGTCAAATTCCTCCCAAAGTGCTGGGATTAAAGGCATGAGCCACTGTGCCCACCCAGGTTTTACTTTCACAAGAAACTTTGGTTTCTCATTTTTATAATGAAAGTTCTAGCTTAAATAAACCTATTGTTTCTTCCATATTTAACATTCTATTTTAGTTATCTTGACTTCTCATGACTTGCTTTTATCACTATATTCCTGTTTCTTGTGTTTCTAAGTAGATGATGAATCAGATGTCATTCTAGTTAGGTTCAGATACAATTGGTTTAAAGCCCTATTTCCACCCTGTGGAAACCCCAAGCCCTCACTAAATCTACTTGGGATTTCCTGAGTTTGTATGTTTTTAAGGAAAGTTCAGTCTCCTGGCTTTTATTTTTCATGAATACTAACTCTGCACTGTAATGTTAATACAAAGTTAATTCTCAGCTATTTGCTTTTATTGCCATACAATATGCAAATAAGCAAACAAAACACCTAACATTTACATATAATTGCATTTGAAATATTATAGTAAAATGTGATAGTGATTTGTTTGTATTCAGTTAGGTAATGGTAGTGGACTGTAAAAGCATTAGAAAATGGTATTAGAAACCAACATCTGTGTGCTAGTTTTGCTCATCACAGCTTGTGTATCCTCATTTTTAGTCCCTCTTACTAGAAAGGCATAGAACAAGAAAATATATAAGTGTATACTAACCCAAGTTTTTATACATATCTAGAAATATTCCTATGCATAACCATTTGTGTCTGTATTAAGCTAAACATTAAATTCATAGTGATGTCTCCACTTTAATCAATTAATCCATGATTGTCCAAGCTGCTACCCTTTGCTCATCTGTTACCTCCTACTCCAAAAGTAACAAACCTGGCTTCTACTATCTGCCAATCATTTATTTAATTGTTTAATTCTAGTATATATGTATAATGGTTTCAGAATTATTAACCAGTATCCCCATGGAAAACAATTTTTTTTGAGACGGAGTCTCGCTCTGTCGCCCAGGCTGGAATGCAGTGGCGCGATCTCGGCTCACTGCAAGCTCTGCCTCCTGGGCTCAAGGCATTCTCCTGCCTCAGCCTCCCGAGTAGCTGACTACTCCTGAGTAGCTCACTACAGGTGCCCGCCACCATGCCCGGCTAATTTTTTTGTATTTTTAGTAGAGACAGGCTTTCACCGTGTTAGCCAGGATGGTCTCGATCTCCTGACCTCAAGATCCGCCTGCCTTGGCCTCCCAGAGTGCTGGGATTACAGGCGTGAGCCACTGCACCTGGCCCTGGAAAACAGTTTTTAAAAATAGAATATATGCATTTGATTTTGAGTTCTAGCTATGATAATTTCCACTGTAATAATGTCCTTAGTAATTAATAAGCATAAACATGTTTATTATCACAGAAAATTGCATGAGAACTATCAGAGAGAAGTCAATGTGTAGAAAGTTCATGTAAGATAATAAAAATCAAGTAGATAATAAAGCATATCAATTAATACCATATTTAGATATAAAGCTTTAAATATATACTAAACACTTTGATTTTGGTTTTATTTCTTCTTTTCAACTTTTATTTTAGATTCAGGGTGCATATCTGCAAGTTTGTCATAAGGATATATGCTGTGATGAGGCCGGGCTCGGTGGCTCACGCCTGTAATCCCAGCACTCTGGGAGGCCGAGGCGGGCGGGTCATGAGGTCAGGAGATGGAGACCATCCTGGCTAACATGGTGAAACCCCGTCTTGACTAAAAATATAAAAATTAGCCAGATGTGGTGGTGGGCACCTGTAGTCCCAGCTACTCAGGAGGCTAAGGCAGGAGAATGGTGTGAACCCCGGAAGTGGAGCTTGCAGTGAGCCGAGATTGCGCAACTGCACTCCAGCCTGGGTGACAGAGGGAGACTCCATCTCACAAAAAAAAAAAAAAAAAAAAAAAAAGATATATGGTGTGATGTTGAAATTTGGTGTATAATTGAACCCATCACCCAGGTAGTAAGCCTAGCACCCAATAGATAGTTTTTCAACCCTTGAGCCTCCCCTTCCCTAGTTATAGTCTTCAGTGTCTATCGTTCTCATCTTTTGTCCATGTGTACCCAATGTTCAGCTCCCACTTGTAAGTGAAAACATGGAGTATTTGATTTTCCAATTCTGCATTAGTTCACTTAGGATAATGGCCTCTAGCTACATTCATGTTGCTGCAAAGGACATAATTTTGTTTTTTTATAGCTATGTTGTATTCAATGGTATATATGTAACACATGTTGAAGTCTCCCACTGTTATTACATGCCTGTGTAAATCTTTTCATAGGTCTGAAATCACATGTTTTATGAATCTGGATACTCCAATGTTGAGTGTGCATATAATTAGTAAAGTCTTCTTGCTGAATCGAAACTTTAATCGTTACATATTGTCTTTTTTGTCCTTTTTACTATTGTTGGTTTAAAGTCTGTTTAATCTGGTATAAGAATCATGACCCCTGCTCTCTTCTGTTTTCCATTGCATGATAGATCTTTCTCCATTCCTTTACTTTGAGCCTGTGGGTATGGCTACATGTGAGATGGATCTCTTAAAGACAGCAGACAATTGGGTCTTGTTTTTCTACCCAACTTATCACTCGGTGCTTTTTAGGTGGAGCATTTAGACCATTTAAATTCAAGATTAATATTGCTATGTGAGGGGGTTTTTTTTGATGTTTTTGTCTGGTTGCTTCATAGTCCTTATTGTGTAGTTGCTTTATGCGATTTGTGAGCTACGTATTTAAGTGGGTTTTTGTGGTAGCAGGTATCGTTCTCTTGCTTCCATATTTAGAACTTCCTTAAGGCTCTCTTGTAAGACTCACCTAGTGGGAACAAATTCCCTTAGCATTTGCTGTCTGGAAAGTATTTTGTTTATCCTCCATTTATGAGGTTTAGTGTGGCAGGATATGAAATTCTTGGTTGAAATTTATTTTCCTTAAGGATGCTAATAATAGGCTCCCAATCTCTTCTGGCTTGTAAGGTTTCTGCTAAGAAATCCACTGTTAGCATGATGGGGTTCCTTTTGTAAGTGATCTGACCCTTTTCTCTTGCTGCTTTTAAGATGTTTTTTTCACATTGACTTTGGAGAATCTGATGACTATGTGTCTTGGTGATGATCATCTTATATTGTATCTCACAGGGGTTCTCTCAATTTCTTGAATTTGTATGTTGACCTCTCTAGCACAATTGGGGAAATTTTCATGACCTATATCCTCAGATATGTTTTCCAATTTGCTTATTATTTCTCCTTCTCTCTCAGAAATGCCAGTGAGTCACAGAATTGGTGTTTTTACATAATCTCATGTTTCTTGACGATTATGTTCATTTTTAAAGTTATTTTTTCTTTATTATTTTCTCACTGAATTGAGTCAAAGAACTCATCCTTGAGTTCTGAAATTCTTTCCTCAGCTTGGTTTAGTGTGTTGCTAAGGTTTCTAGTTGTATTTGAGATGCCTATAGTGAATTTTTAAATTCCAAACACATTCAGTTTGGTTCTTCCTTAATATGGCTATAACATCTTTTAGCTCTGGGATCATTTTACTGGCTTTCTTCTATTGGGTTTCAACTTTCTCTTGAATTTAGTTGCCATTCAGACTCTGAATTCTATGTCTCTTGTCTCAGGCAATTCAATCTGTTTAGGATCTATTGCTGGAGAGCTTGTGGAATCCTTTGGAGGTAAAGAAATGCTATGACTATTTGAATTGCCAACGTTCTTGTGCACAGCAAAATAAATTATAAAAAGAATAAGCAGACAATCTACGGAATGTGAGAAAATATTACCAAACTATGTATTATATCTGACAAAGGTCTAATATCTAAAATCTATAAGAAACTTAAATAAACCAATAAGCAAAACCTTAAAAATAATTCCATTAAAAAACAGGCAAGAAATGAATAGATCCCTCTCAAAAGAAGACATACAAGCAGCCAAGAAGCATGTGAAAAAAATACCTGAAAACCACAAGAAGAAACCATCTCACACTAGTCAAAATGGCTATTATTAAAAAGTCAAAAGACAACAGATGTTGGAGGAGCTGCAGAGACAAGGGAATGCTTATGCACTGTTGGTGGGAATGTAAATTAGTTCAGCCACTGTGGAAAGCAGTTTGGAGATTTCTCTAAGAACTAAAAATACAGCTAATTTCTTCTCATCTGAGAAGGCTGGTGTTTCTTTTTCTTTTTGAAGTTGCTGTCATTTGGGTGGGTTTTTTGTTTTTTATTGTTTTTATTTTTTCCCTTGAGGGTTTGATTGTGGCATATGTTGTGAATAGTCTATTGGCTTCATTTCTGGGTGTTTTCAAAGGGCCAAAGCTCTGTATGGGTTCCTTCATTGTGGCTAGTTTCTTGCATTTGGTTTCACAGGTGATGCATGCTGAAGGCATTTTTTTTTTTTTTTTTTTTTTTTTTTTTGGTGCAATCCATCAGGTGGTATTTAAGTGTAAAGACCAGCAGAGAGGCTCTCACACAGCCACGTGCCACTTCTGTATTCCAGTTCATTTGCGGCAGTGCTCTGGGGATAGGGAGAGGGGGCAAGAGATGACCCCCTCACCATGTCTGCTCCTAGGCCTTGGGGGAACCCCCGGAAATCACTGGAACCATTCCTACCTTTACTTAGCCCTAAACGGGACCCTGGTGGGCTGCCCTTCCCCATTCCATAGGGGCAGCTTGAGCTGAAGGTAGGTCACCATTAGGCCGGCAACTCCCTAGGGATCTGTTGGTCCTCTGAGCTTGGTAGAGTCAAAGTATGTTGTGTGGTATTTCTGTGGGTGGTCTAGAGATACAGTGGGTCAAGGGAGGAGGATCCCCAGGCACTGCAGTGTGTTGGAAGTGTGAAGCTGGTGTGGCACCAATGGCCTGGGGTGTTTTGCCCAGCAGATGGTTGTGGGGACCACCTAGCTTGTGCTCTCCTGCCTGGATTTCCTTTCAATGTCTTTCCCAGGAGCAGGCTTAACAAGCTAATTTTATCCTAAGAAATCCTGTGCCAAGAGTGCTGGGCTGTTCCAGGTATTCTGGGCCGCAGAGCTCTCTTGGACAGAAGCTGTGGCTGGCCAACAGGCTACACCCTTTCTTGAGTTGTGTTGCAGAGGGAGAGATGCCTAGTTCTAGTGCCCCAGTGCACAAACCCAGTCCTAACTTTTCTCAGAGTTCTGAGAGTGAGGCACCTCCCTGCCTCAAGCTCAGGCCACAGATTTCAGTTCAATATCCCTGGGCAGTGTGCTTGATGAGTGAGGGGTTGAGCACAGGCCTGTGGCTGTGTCGTCTCATCCCTTGGGGTTGAGCACTCACTGTGCTAGAGGGGTCAAATTGCTCTCAGGCCACTGGCAAAACACTCGGGTGGGGCAGTGAAAGTTGTGCTGTGTGCCCACTCTTGTGGGAGCAGCCAGTCACAGACTTTGGGAGGGGCAGGCAGACAAGGGGGCATGCAAATCAGATCAGTCTTGCAGGAAAGGCATCCCTTGTCTCTCCCAGCCCAGCTCAGCAGGGACTAGAGTCATTCAGAGCAAGATAGCCTTGAAAGATGGGCACCTACGATCGCATTTGGCTGTAGCAGCCCTATGCATAAAACCTTCAGGACTTTGTACAGGTTTGAGCTGCCTCTGCCCACTCTCCAGGCAGTTCCCCTTGTCAATACGAATGCCTATGGGGGTAATGGGATCTCTTGTAGCTAGGATCCCAGAGGTCCACAGCAGTAGTGTAGTACCCAAGAGCTCTTTCACTCAACCCTTCCTTAGAACCTGTTCAGGACCAGGAGCTGGTCCTGGCATTCAGCAACTCCACGCAGGCGTCTCAGCTTCCTCCGTCTTCAACCTCAGTGTCTGTAGCACTTCTCTGTTGACTTTCAGTGTTTTCTCCTTAAAAATCTCCTCTAAGTGTGACGGATTACTCAATATTTTTGTGGGTTTTTTTGGTGTGTGTGTGTGTGTGTGTGTGTGAGGAGTGTTTTGTGGCTGCGTCTAGTTAACTATCTGTCCCTCCCCATGCTTTCTTTCTCTTAGCAACAATAAGTCTATGGTTGTACTTCTTTTTGTCTACTCAGGGAATTGTGCTGAGAGTTTAACTGCAGGAAAAAAAAAATTGAGCATTGACTTTTTTTTTTTTTTTTTTGAGATGGAGTCTTGCTCTGTCACCCAGGCTGGAGTGCAGTGGCGGGGTCTAGGCTCACTGCAAGCTCTGCCTCCCGGGTTCATGCTATTCTCCTGCCTGAGCCTCCTAAGTAGCTGGGACTACAGGCACCCGCCACCACGCCCGGCTAATTTTTTGTATTTTTAGTAGAGACGGGGTTTCACTGTGTTAGCCAGGATGGTCTCGATCTCCTGACCTCGTGATCCACCCGCCTCGGCTTCCCAAAGTGCTGGGATTACAGGCATGAGCCACCGCGCCTGGCTGACTTACTTTTACAAGAGATTGAAATTGCTTAAAGTAGCACGTGTAATAAAATAAAATAACTCTTTCGAAGGAAGCAAAATGATTTAATTAAAAACTGCTAATAATTATGTTTCTATACATCTTATGACTGCCTGTCAGCCTCATCTCAGTTAAGAATTCTGTTGGTTAATAAACTCATACTTAGCTTGAATAGAATCCAAGGATTGTAATGTTTACATCTTCCATTTAGAAAATTTCTCATATTCACTTCATTGTTTTCAAACTTCATAGTACTGAATTTTTGTGTAAACCAAAATGTAATGTTCTTTCTATAGACAAAGAAAATATGTTTAAGAAAATTTGTTGGCCGGGAGCGGTGGCTCAAGCCTGTAATCCCAGCACTTTGGGAGGCCGAGGCGGGTGGATCATGAGGTCAGGAGATCGAGACCATCCTGGCTAACACGGTGAAACCCCGTCTCTACTAAAAATACAAAAAAAAAAAAAAAAATTAGCCGGGCTTGGTGGTGGGCGCCTGTAGTCCCAGCTACTCCGGAGGCTGAGGCAAGAGAATGGCGTGAACCTGGGAGGAGGAGCTTACAGTGAGCCTAGATCGCGCCACTGCACTCCAGCCTGGGCGACAGGGCAAGACTCCATCTCAAAAAAAAAAAAAAAGGAAAATTTGTTTTGAGTCCTGCAAGCAGCAGGACAGAAATAAAAATAATAAAATAAATAAGTGAGATGTAGTCAAAGGAAACTGAAAACCTCACCCATCTGAAAATAAATATCTGAACTTTAGTTGTTGGTTAATTTTACTTTTTAATAAGTACAAAATGTAGTAGACAGCTATAAATAAAGCCAAGCCCTTGGTTTTCCATTCCAGTAAAATTTACTACAATCATGGATATTGCCTTCACCTTTACCAACATGATACAACTCCTACCAATCTCCCTTGGTCTTTTTCCTTACCAACAGTTTGCAACCCCAAAATGAAACCTGTAAATGGAGAAAAACAATTAGCATGCCCTGTTTTAGTGTGACCTTGGTAGGAGTGAAGGGTTTTTTTGTTTATTTGGAATAAGCTCAAGATTATGTAGCAAAAGAAATGCAAATCATTTTTGTGTATAAATCATTTGAAAAAGTAGCCCCCCAAAAGTAATTGTGTAGCATTAAATGTATTTTACTCTCCCAGTTGTTTGAGAAAAACAGCAAACTGCAACTTAAGAGATGTTTGCTCATTTATTTATTTAGTCCTGTAGACCCTTGGGATGTAAAGTTGCTGTGTCTTCTTACTGGGAGCAGAATCTGCCAGGAGGAAATTCACAGAAGGGTGCTGGTGCTGCCTAATTTATAAACCCAAAGAAGTGTCATGGAAATTGCTGAGTTTTTAAGGATATTTGGCAAGTTTTATTTGTTTCATTAGTTGTTGTTTTATTCTATTTTAATAGGAGATAGAAATATTAGTGTAGAATGACAATAGAAACATGTGGAGACAATGAAGAAGTAGTATTAGGAAAAGGAAGCAAATGCAAATAGGACATTCTCTGCAGATCCAGAAATTCAAACTCTAATTGAGTTTTGAAGAAGTAAAATTATACAAAGCTTGTGGAGTTGCTAAGGACTTAGGTTATACCCAAATAACTAAGGTATAAGAAACCCTGTAATCAATTTATCAAATCACTTTATAGAGCTGTTAAAGAAAATGAATACATTTGTATTAATGTTTTATTGTGTACTCTGATAGGACTAGGATTATGTAAATTTTAAGAAGAGGCCCATCTATTCATGGGGGTATTATAGTGTACTTGGAATTATGTGTAGTGGTTTTGGAGATGAGAGAATTTCTGAACAGTACACTGCTATTGAATATTATTCAACACTACTAATCTATCAAAAGTTGCCAGAATTAAAGGGACTAGCTCCTTCCACTTAAAGGTTTGGTTCATGATTTGGTGGTTTCAGCCAGTGACTGGTAACTACTTTAAATTGAACTACACGTTTAGTGCATCCTGGGAAACCAGGAGATAGAGGCTGCAAGGCAGTATGAGGCAACTTCTGTCTTACACTAGCTGATTAAAAGACAAAAGGTCTGATTTGAATAGCTTTAGCTCCTATAATTCTACAATACCTACAAAATTTTAGCTGAGAGCCATTTTTTATCCTTCATTATTGAGATGTGAAATAACCTATGCTAGAGTGGCAGTTTCATCTAACATTTTCACTGCCCAGAATGATTGGGCAGTGTTCTACAGTAATTATTTTCGTCAAGGAAAGTCAATTATTTGAAGGATCTCATTAAAGAATTGCTACTTAATAGTATTATCTCAAAGTACCAAGCCCATGTTAATTGAGTATTGTTATAGGGCAGATAAAATCAGAGAAAATTAATATGTGTGCAGATTATTGCAAAAGATTGGTTTGTTTAAATTCTGTTATATACAGAATGCCCTAGATTGCTTAGTAGGAAGCTAGTTCAGTTTCAGTTTAGCAGATACTCTTAGAGTAGGAAAGTGGATAAACACATTCATTTATACAATGAGTTTTTCAAAATTTAGAGGTGCCATGGAAAATTGCTGAAACTCAGGCCTCTTTGCAAAGACTTGTGTTTGCAGATATTCCACTATATTCAGGATTATGTACTACCTGGAGGTATATCTTTAAAATTTAGTTAAATTTGAAGGGGTTCAGAAAAGCATTATCAATAAATTTGGGAAAAAGCAGATTCTAAATTGACACATAATAATTTTATTATTTTTTTCATATCACAGTAAAATGTGTTGGATACATTATAGCCAAACAAGTTATAACCAATATTCAGAAAAATATGACTTTTCTATTTACTAACACTACCAGTGAATGTAAGGAAATAAATAATATTTAGGGGCTAGGGTTATTGAAGGCACTATGTCAACAAATTCCCCAGAATTAAAAAAAAAAAAAGAGGAAAAAAGAATGAATGAAAAGAACCTCTTACAAAGTTAATGCTGGAAAACCAAAACCATGTGAGAGTGGATGAGAGTTCAGCTCTAAGAAGATTATTCTGCATCGCCACACCCCCCAACACACACACACACACACACACACACACACACACCTACATATTAACATACATTATTAGGGAAAGGGTTATCATGTTATCATGAACCTTCAAGAAGCATCATTGTACTCACTTTTGTTGATTCTAGTATGCATTTCTATTAAATTCTGACACTTTATCTGGGTTTGGGGTATAGTATATCTCGGTAGGGAAAATAAATCACAATTTCTCACAGATATCTGGTTGTAAAATTCTATGCAGTGTTTGTCAGTGTCCTTAAATGCTATCCATGGGAAAAATTCAAACAGAAATGGCTAATTCAAACAGAAAATGAGTTTTCGTTATATTCCTATACTATGTGAAGTTATTTTCATGCAGTCTATATTTAGAACTGAAGGAAAACTAAATATTCTCTTTGTTCAGTGCAATTGCTACCACAAGTCTATGTTTATCCAGATATTAAGAGGAAGTGGAAAAAGTACATAGAATTGGATAAGGGTGGAGTGATAAGGGTCCAGAAGTAAATCCCTTCACAGAGGAGCTCGGTATCAGTTGTGGCCCAGATGTTGTAAGAAACGCTGAGCTTAGCAACTTCACAGACAATATAGAGAAAACTGACAGCCCTAGTTTTCTCACTAATGTCACTGTGTGCTTCATTTTACTTTGTGATGAGGGAGCTTCATTAATCAAAATTTCCTGCATCAATGTAGATGTCCTCAGATGTAGATTTGATAGATAACCTCTTTAATAGTGAGAATGGATATATCAAATACAGCACATTTCTTTTGGCACCAAGCCATAAGCAAAATCAATGGTATTGGCTCATTGATGTCTCTGAGCACATAAAACTAGCGATGGTTTTAGTATGTTTGGAAGTTAAGCTAGAGGTCATTAACAAAAAAAAAATAGCTGGTATGAAGATGACAGCATCTGTGTTTTCCAAAGAGAGATTTTTGTGCTTTCTTTCATTTTTGTCAGAACCATTATAAAACTACCCTTTAAAAAAGTCTATAACTCTGCCCTTGTACTTCATCTAAGCCATTCTCTAACTCCACATAAGATATCCTGCCTTCTTCATCGCAATGAGCAGTTAATGCTCCATGTCTAATTGGACAACTACACTGTCAAATTTGCTTCCACTCAGATGTATAGCATCAAAAACTACAATTGGTGAGGTTCACAATTTTGATTTTGATCACTAATTCTGTGTCAGGAAAGGCAATTTTTTTTTGCAGTAATTCTGATGCATGCACTACTCCCTTTTATTGCAGTGGGGTGTGTCTTTGCAGGAATATGTAGATCCAAGATCAGGGCCAACAGCATTTCCTTTTGGCATGTTTTCTAAGAAAAGATGGATCTTTTTCTTATTGAATAAATATTTAGATACTTGCCATGAATGCAATAATTGTCAAAAAACAAAAGAATATAGATATGTTCCTTTCTATGACTCTTGCTGGGGGTAGTAAATTTAAAAGATGGAATCCTCGGTCTTACAAACCTGAAACTCCTTCCAGAAGCATTTCACAGTATGCCTGACTTATATTAGTAACCTATGACAGGATGCCTAGCTATTTCAAAGGCACAGCTTTGACTAAAATACTATCTTAATGTAAGCATTTTAAAATGTTAAATCCCTACCACATGCAAAGCACTGTGCTTAATATTTTAAAAGTCGATTAGTATTATCCCAATATTACAGATGAAGAAAGCATAACATAAGTAACTGGTAGACCCAAATTAATATTTAGATTCATATGATACCAAATACTCTACTTTTTTGTCTATAAACTCCTACCTCCCTCTATGTGTATTTTTGTCTCTATCTAGACATCAAACATAGTGTCCTGCCTTAGTTAGTAGATATCCTGTGTACTCTCCACTAGAAACTTTCTTTTAACAAGGAGATGAGCTGTTTAGGTTCAGCAGAAAGTGCCATAATGGATGCCATGAGGATGAAGAAAAGAGCCTTCGTGTAAAGTTACACTATGTGCATTTGGTGTTTTTTTTTTAATCAAGTACAGAGAATTTCAGAACAGTATGCATCAACACAGTGATATGTATGATTTTATATGTGTTTAATTACTCTTGTCATAAATTCTGGGTTTTGTTTTTGTTTTCTGTTTTCTGAGATGGAGTCTCACTCTGTCGCCCAGGCTAGAGTGCAGTGGCATGATCTTAGCTCACTGCAACCTCTGCCTCCCAGGTTAAAGCAATTCTCCTGCCTCAGCCTCCCAAGTAGCTGGGACTACAGGCACGTGCCACCACACCTGGCTAAATTTTTTATTCTTATTTTTAGTAGAGACGGGGTTTCACCGTGTTAGCCAGCATGATCTCAATCTCCTGACCTCGTGATCCACCCGCCTCGGCAAATTCTGTATTTTTAATCATATAATATCTCATCCTGGAATGCCTGAGATTGTCGCTGGATTTAGTTTAACTCCCTTTCTTTCTGAGCCATATCATTCTGTTCCAAAGAATTCAACCCAAGTTCAATACTAGCATTCCGCAAGTAACCCAAAATGTGGAGTAAGATATGATATATTATATTATTTTATATTATGTATGTCATATCACATCACATTATGTCATGTCATATCATATTATTATTCTTTTCAATGTCATGATTTTAATACTGTCTTAAATAAGGATGCAGATTTAACTTGTTGCATATTTTTAGATCTCAACAGTTTTATACTGTAAGGTATTATGTCAGGTAATGAAGTGCCTGAGATTGCTGCTATAGGTGCTTTATATTGGAGTTACTACTTTCTGAATTTAAAAATGAGAGAACATTATGACTTCATTAGAAGAAAATAGCATTATTTCTTAATTATTTGATAGATTTTTCTTTATTTCCAGTTTTGTTCAATTATGTTTCAGTTAATCTCATTATACATAGAGATGTTTGTGTCCTTCGATTGCATTTAGACTTACAGAATTACAGTAATACAAGTTCTTAACATTCATAGAAAATATGCCAAGTTTTCTAAACCTTTTCTTATACATACACCCACATCTTTCTTATTTGAGTCTTTGTGCATAAACTACAATAACAGACTGTATGTTCACGTCTCTCCCTAGTTCAAAAGAAAACATCAGGCACAGAAGGCAGCATATGACTGAGTCCTTCTGGCTCTTACAGGCTTCAGATACACTTTTACAAGTGCCCTCCATAATAAATGTGAACTTCAAGCTTCATACAGGTATTGATTTAACCTCCAGAGACATATCAAAGTAAATATAATTTAACCATTGTCCAACATGTTATCCTCTTTTCCAAGCAGGTGTGTTTTTTGTTAATGTCAATGTTTTTGCAGAATTGCTTTTCAGAAAACAGTTTTTCTCTGTTCTCTGAAGCAAAGAAAAAATAAAAATTTTATAAATTTTTTAATCCAAAAAATGTCACTCCAATCAGTCAATGCCCAACTCTTATGTTCTTATATTCATGAACCAGCTGTCTTTATTTCATCAATTATAATTTATATCTGGCTTTGGTGATTGTTAATCCATGCTGTCATAATCAAGGCCACTGTAGACAGAGGAACTTATACTATCACTAAGAGCTTTGGGATTTTATTTTTTTTCTTTTATTTGTTATGAAATGACACATATAGGGCATTTTGATTCTACAAAAACATCTTGTAGATAAACGCTTATTGCTACTCAGACATTATCAGCATTTAACAGAAATGAATTCTTGACATAGTGCTTTGAAGTAATTAGCCAATTCAGTAATCTGCAGAAGCAGAAAATAAATGAGTACCTAAGGGTGAGTGGCCAACATTTGAGATACTAAGCATTTCTCTTTTGAAATGCACAATCTATATTTAATATGGGAAATAAACTAAAATTAATCACTGCCAATACAACTGTTAGGAAAGACAAGAACTCATTAAAAAGTAGAGAATTGTATCCTTGTATAAAACCTTCATGGTTAGTATAATTCCTATAGATAACCATAAAGACATACCGATGGGAGTAACCATTTTAAATAATTCTTATTAAACACTTCAAATATTAACCAATAAACACAAAATTACTATAGCATGCCTGATTGTTCTTACTCTTTTTGAAATGTGCAAAGAGAGAAAACAGGGTTTTCTCTGTGCTCATGATTATTGACATTCTTTTTGGAGTACACAAGAAGAGAACACGAATATGAAGAGGCAAGAGGGTTTAAGAAATAACCTAGTGCAAAAATGATTTAAACGTAAGTAAAGGAAAATTAGTCTGTTGGATCATGGGTAGTAAAGTTTCATCATATAAAGAAGACTCAGAGAGACTAGTGTCATGGCAACAAAGAAAAGCATTTCATAAGAGAATGTTATTATCAAAATTCTAAGTGATCGAAGCAAATAAAGAATGAAATGTGAACTTTGGATATAAACTTTGGAGATTAGCTGGGTTGTACATATAGCACTGAGAGCAGAAAAGAATTGGAATTTAGAGAGTCACATTTTTTTTTTCTATATGTCAGGCATGATCAAAAGAAGTGGGGCATTACCTAGAAAGGATTAAGAGTAAATGATAATATTTATTCTTGATGATGTTGCTGTTGTTGCCTGGGTTGTTAAATATGAAAGACACTTTGGCATAAGGCCTCTACATTGTAAGTTCTTTATAAATGTTATTGAATTGATGTTTACAACCTCACAGGCAGCTACAGGACAGGGCATTTTGAAATATTTCAATGGAGAAATGAGAAATGGTGAGAGGTGAAGCCAGCTGGACTTCCTGGGTCGAGTGGGGACTTCCAGACTTTTCTGTCTAGCTAGAGGATTGTAAATGCAGCAGTCAGCACTCTGTAAAAACACACCAATCAGTGCTCTGTGTCTAGCTAAAGGATTGTAAACTCAACAATCAGCACTCTGTAAAATGAACCAATCAGCACTCTGTGAAATGGACCAATCAGCACTCTGTAAAATGGACCAATCAGCAGGATGTGGGCAGGGCCAAATAAGGGAATAAAAGCTGGCCACCAGAGCCAGGAGTGGCAACCCACTCCGGTCCCCTTCCACGCTGTGGAAGCTTTGTTCTTTCACTCTTCACAGTACATTTTGCTCCCTCTTTGGATCTGTACTACCTTTATGAGCTGTAACACTCACTGTGAAGGTATGCAGCTTCACTCCTGAAGTCAGACCACGAACCCACCCAGGGGGGGAACAAACAACTTCAGACATGCCACCTTTAAGAGCTGTAACACTCACTGTGAAGGTCTGTGGTTTCATTCCTGAAGTCAGCAAGACCATGAACACACCCAAAGGAAGGAACTCTGGACACATCTGAACGTCTGAAGGAACAAACTCCAGACACACCATCTCTAAGAACTGTAACACTCACCACGAGGATCCACAGCTTCATTCTTGAAGTCAGCGAGACAAAGAACCCACCGGAAGGAACCAATTCTGGGCACAATGGTACAGAAAATTCCTAGAATAGCAAGAAAAGAATTCATTGAGATAACATCAAAAGTTGAGGGAAATGCAAGTAGTTTGAGAGGAATGTAATACATCTATCATGAGGGTTATAGATAGAATTCCAAGAGTAATACCATGTAAAATAAGGGGGTATATATCTGTCATAAGAGGTTTTAATTTTGGAAGAGATTTGTAGAACAAAATGAGGCAAAGTCCAGAGGAAACTTGTTTTCTTAATTTGTTTGGATGGAAGTGAATTAAATACTTTTTGTTTGTTTAAGGGGACGTACCCAGGAGAATAGGAAACTTACAAAATTGTTGGAAATGTGATTCTAGTGCCCATTATGTCACACTCTTGTGTTGTTTCTCTGAGAGTTGCACTAAGAAAGTTCAAATACCTGTTGGCTTCCATAGACTAAATTCGGGCTGATAACGAGAAGTAAGTTCGTGAACACATTCTACTTTCTATTTCGTTTTGTGCTAAGGTTTTTACAGAAAGCTTATGTGCTTCTACATATTTTAAAGGACATTTAGTAAATGAGATATAAAGAGATTGTTGTCTCAGTTCAGAGGGGTTGCCATGGAAAGAAGCATAGTTATTTTGCATTTGCAAAGGCAAGTTGCAGGAATTAATATGTATAGTTGGATAGTTGGATATGGGTAGAAATTTTGGCCTGACAAACTAATATGTCTTGCAGTTGAAGTAATTTTGTGACATTATTTCTAACTTTTACTTTTAAATTAAACTAATTTTGTGCTATAGAGAGGTTAGAAGGAGTGCTACAAGCAATATGATCATATATATGTATGAATTTTGCATTACACAGAGGTTCCTGACCAAGGGGAGTAAAGGAGATGGAATGAAGCTTGTGTGCTGTACTTCAAGTCATGCATCCAGTACCATTTTCCTGCACATAAAGCGCTATCTATTCATTAAGATTTCTAGTTGCAGAGCTGGATCCATCCATAAAAAGAACCATTTTTCTAATTTATAGAAAGATGTCTCATGGCCTAGAAACAGGCCTTGAGCAAGAGCAAGCCCTGCCTTTCTCATATAGAATATGTACTGTTTTCTTATATATAGCCTCTTTCTTTAAATTTGATAAGATAATTATTATGAATCAATTTTATTACTTTGTTAAATATTATATTGTGCTTAAATTATATAATACGATTTTTAAATGAATAAATTTTAAATATATTTTAATAGATAAAGTAATATGAAAGTATAAAGTATCAACAAAAGACAAAATAATAAGAGAAAAAGTTAAAAACTGAACTAGAACATTACTAGGAAGTATTAGGTATATGAATATATAAGAAGAAAAGAGTCAATGTTTACTACATTATTGATAGTCATGTTTACACGTTTTAAAAAATCAGATAAGTACACTGAAAATATATCCACTTTTTACCTCTCAATTAAAAAAATTAGATCTGTTAAAGGGAGTTTTAAAATGAATGAAATGACACATACAGACAAATGATGCAAAGTCTGTAACATTTCCCGGCAACAGTGAGCAAGAGGTGTCTAGAGATGAAATACACTTACTCTCTTCTATTTCTTCCCATATTATCAAAACTAGGCCCTTGGCACTTGAGATCCTCATGTTAGAGGTGCCCAGCAAAGAAGCCTTTATGCCCTATCTTTTCTTCTTGTGCATTTCCAAGTTGCATCTGTGCATTTAGAATGGTAAGGAATTGCTCTTAGGGGTGTGGTGGAGAGGAGCTAATTAAATATTTCCAGGATGTGTGAGGTGATCAGCCTCCTAGCCCAAGAACTTTCTAAAGCTAATACTTAGGCTAAAATACAATGCAAATTTAGTGCCTTATCATTTTTAAGATGCCTTCAATAAACTATTTTAAAAAGGCAATATTGTGATTTTAAGGTATCTTTTAAATATTCTAAAATAACTTATCTCCACATAGTTTAGCCCTCAGAGAGTAGTGTCACGACATCGAAAATGTGTGTCGAAAAAGTTAAATTGACAAAGCTATCTGTCATGCAGAGTCAAAAAGCTGAGGAGAAAATATTTCTAGGTATTCATGGTATTAAATGGAAGCTATTAGCTTGAGTAGAATTTTAGTTGTTTTGAAAAATCAATTCCTTGCATGCTTTTTTAATTGATGAAAATCATTTTGTACACCTACTCAATAAAGCAAATTACTAATAATTATAAATAATTTAATTAATATTATTTATATGTATATTTGCATAATAACTTTTAAAATGCTAAAAGAGAAATATTTTGTTTAGAACTATATTACTCTTATGAGACTCAAAAACTGAAATTCAGCCCTGGCTTATTATTTCATCAACAATAAATATCTACCCTTATCTCTGCAATTTTCATAAGATTATCTGTGCAATTCTTTTTAATTACAATGTTCATCCATTGCTACGTGGCTACTTTACTTCTAATTAGCTTTATTTGAAAAAGCCAATTACATACCATTCAGTTTCTTTCATTCACTATTTAATCACGACAGATTCTCAGGAAGCCAAGAGACAGATACTCTATAATAAAAATAGCAAAAACAATAAAGTTCATGCCTTGAGAGTATATTTGTTTTTTCAGTATGTTGTTAGATCTATGTATTATTTTGTTATTTTTAATTTTTAAGATACTTTGTAGGCCGGGCACGGTGGCTCATGCCTGTAATCCCAGCACTTTGGGAGGCCGAGACGGGCGGATCACGAGGTCAGGAGATCGAGACCATCCTGGCTAACACGGTGAAACCCCATCTCTACTAAAAATATAAAAAATTAGCCGGGCGTGTTGGCGGGCACCTGTAGTCCCAGCTACTCGGGAGGCTGAGGCAGGAGAATGGCGTGGACCCGGGAGGTGGAGCTTGCAGTGAGCTGAGATCGCGCCACTGCACTCCAGCCTAAGGGACAGAGCAAGACTCCGTCTCCAAAAAAAGATACTTTGTAAATGTTTTTGCACATATTGTACATAATATAATGTATTCCATATGGCTGTCTGTTAACATTTATTTTGTTGCATTGAAAAATTAAAGCAATAAGATATTATTAGTGTTGTACAGATAATAAAAAAAATACATCAACCATCATCATAATAGTCATCAACAATAGCACATTGAGCTTCTAAAATTACACGGTGTCCTGCTGGCTTTCAATAAACCAAATTATATAGCCTGGTCCTCGGCACTCTGTAAAATGTGATCACTGACAAATGCGTGCCCTTTTAAACCTACCAACAAACGTGAAAATAAACCAACTTTTAGAACACAAATAAATACTAATAATTATCACCAGTTAAAAAATATTTGAGTACATTAGAATTATTCATTACTCCAGAATTGAAAACAACTGAAGTCAAAAGCCTTTGCCATGCCATCTTTATGAACTTCTTAATTAACTTTATGAATTCCTCAATTAATTTTACTGCTCATTTTGGGATAAAGAGGGCAAAAAGATTGCATAAACGATAGAAAGTGCTGTACATTTCTTTTCCATTCAGTTAAAGTGGTGTCTGATTATCAAATAAAACCTGCACCTCACAAATCTCTCAAGAAATCTTTTTTTCCACGTATCTCTTGCAATTGAAAGAACAAAAGCCATGCTCACACATTCTCCTGCATGAGGAATAACTGGTTTATTTGGCTTGTCAGGGCCTTTGAAAGAAGCTGAGTGCTTAGGAAGGTAAATAATGAACATATGTTGCAAACCTAAAGTGTCTTGATAAGTGGATGCTTTTGTTGACTAATGCTGTTTCAAATGTGAAGTTGGGTATTCAAAACTCATGAAATAGTCCAGCAATGTTGACTTAAGGAGATAAGGTATATATTCTGCTAACATTAACAGCAGACTTCATTTATTAAGATTTAGTGAGCTATAACTAGTGTAAAAAAATGAACATTCATGTTATATATTTATTTCAACTCTTTCAAGTCAAAGAAGCTAGGTAATGTGTAGATTAAAAAATATGTTTTCAGCTCACGTGCCCATGGGGCAACAGAGAACTAAGTAAATTTACCCACTCTTCTACCTAATCTTTAACATATGCTATTGCTTGGAAAATGAAGTCCTGTAAGAGGACGTTGTCTAAACAAAAAATGGCATTTAAAAATGTAGTAAAAATCCCTACCTTGAGAAATTTAAGGAAAAATTAATCAAATACATATATATATATTAACCTAGCTCATGTCTTGTACATTATAGATACTCAAAAACTAGTAATCTTCTTGCTTTTTCATATTCTTTTCACAAGCCAACTAGTTCAATTACATTAGTAATAATCAAGTAACTTATAATTCAGAAAAAAGCAGAATACTGTTAGAAATAATCTGTGTATCATTGCATTATTGCACAAAAGTCCATTTCCTTAAAAACATAATTCCTAATTAATGTATTTGAGTTTTTACTATTTTCTAATATAGAGCACTATAACTCACATTTTTCAAATAAAATTCATGTAAATTGAATAGAATTTTACAGAGGAAGTTAAATGGTATGTATTTTTATGTTAACAGAGAAGTGTGTTCCCAATTGGTACCTAATTTGAAATATCCTTTGTCCAATAAAAATAATAATGTCCCCTCTATCATTTTATTCAGATGCAAAGTAATAAAAGCAAAACATCAATAGCAGGCAGTAAAACAAAAATTAGCGCCAAGAAAATAGAAAGAGAAGATAGCCACAAGTTATAGGTAAGTAGAAAATTGTATTGGAGGAAAGCAAACTTCCTGAGGAGCTTCATCAATGAAGACTTTGTGGAGAAAGTAAGCTTTGACTTGATATTATGCAAAGATTAGGAATCTTCGTTGGTTTTTAGCAAGCATCTAATCTAAGGAAGTGACACAAATGAGAATGCTCTAGGATAAATGCAGCACAAGGTTTACTGAAGAATATCAGTTGAATAAGAATGAGCAAAAGGAGGACAGACAAGAATACAAAAGATGCCATTGCCTAAGTGTTCTTAAATAACTAAAGTGAAGAAATGTGGGAGTTTACATGATAATTTTATTCAGGTGCTTTCAACATTTTTGTATTGTTATCCATAAAAGATTCATAGTTGTCATTATATTATGATTTGCCATTTTTCTTTTATTTTTTATTTTATTCTATATTGGCAAATTATAATTGTTTATGAAGTACAAAGTGATGCTATGATATATGTATACAATGTAAAATTAACATATCCTAATGAACATATCCTTCACCTCAAATACTTATAGTTTACTCTTCTTGTCTAAAAAACATTATTTATAAATAGTCATTCTGGGCATTATTAAACAAGGATGCTTTTAGTGCCTGGATCATGGTTCTCAGAACAAGGGTATGTAACCCTAATGAAAGGAACCCACATAGTGAGCTAAAAGTCTATAGATTATGGGAGATACAATTATGAATGCTATATAAATTATCTTCTTGGACAACGGACTGAAAACATAAAACCAGGAAGAACGCATATTGATGATACCTCGTGTAGATATTTCACATAAGAAATGTCATTTGTTTCCAATCTAGTAGAACATAGCTTGGCTATGTCTTAAGTGGACTCACAGATGGTCTTCTTTACCTTAGAGAATGTGCTACATTTCAGGGTCAGTCCTTCATCAGGCAGGCTCAGCACACGTTATTGTTAGTTTTAAAAATCAGATTGTTTCAGAACCAGATACATGAAAGTAAAAAGACAGACACATAAAAGCAGCACATCAATATTAATATGTAATAAACCCAAATAAATTGAATTGTATTTCTGTCACCATTACCAGATGACCTGTGCTGACATCCCTAGTACATTCTTACTCTGTATACTGTTTTACTTTGGGATCTAAGTTGTTTAACATAGAATTAGTCCAATGAAACCTTTTTAACATAAGCATAGCCTTTCCTTCCTAAATATGTGATATGCCCTTTACCTTTGTAGGTTTCCATTCCTGCCCATGCCCTCTTGAACACTGGCATTAATATTTGCAGTGTTACAATAAAGTCGGACAGGCACAGGATCTCTTTCCGGTTAGCTTACACAACTTTAGGTAATGGCATATCTTTTGAATGTTAGCCATAATGTTTTCATTTGTTTCCATTCTTTCTTTATTCTTTGGAAGGAGGCTCACGTCAAATACCAAAAACAGCTGAAAAAAAGCAGACAGGGAATCATGTGTGTTCATACTACATACCATCCGAATCATTAGGAAAATCAATTAAAATTTCATAAATCATTTTAACAAATATGTATTATTTCTAATGTGATAGGCAACATGATTGTAACTACAATTAGAATGAGCATGGTACAGCTTCTGTCTTCAAGGAGGTTATTGGTTAAAGGATACTCCTTAGTTTCCTTTAAGTTCGCCTAATTCTCAATTGCCTCATTCATATAATTGCCATTTTGCCATATTGACCACTTATTGTCATATTTAACAATGATAAATTTTCATTTACTTTTTTGATAACTTATAGGCCTAGGAACATAGATTACACATAAGAGTCTTTTAATTGTTGCAATGTTGTAATGAGATTCTTAAACTTAATTATTACATAATATGTTTAAAGGAATCAATATTAAATCAGGGATAAATGTAATTTAATTATAATTGCATGAAATAAATGTTTATATTATTTGTTTTTATTATTAGGAAGATGTGTGAGGGATATTTATAATATGTGTTCATGCAATTTTAAGTTATTTTTATTAAGAAAGCAATAACTCTCTGTTAAATATATCAATGTTCAATTATATTTTAAAAACAGGCTGGGCGCGGTGTTGCATTTCTGCAATCCCAGCACTTTTGGGGGCTGAGGCAGGGAGATCACCTGAGTTAAAGAGTTTGAGACTAGCCTGGCAAACATGGTGAAATATCATCTCTACTAAAAATACAAAAATTAGCCGGGCATTGTGGAACATGCCTGTAATCCCAGCTACTTGGGAGGCTGAGGCAGGATAATTGCTTGAACCCAGGAGGCAGAGGTTGCAGTGAGCTGAGATGGTGCCACTGTATTCTAGCCTGGGTGACAGAGCAAGATTCTGTTTCAAAAAGAAGAACAAAACAAAACAAAAACAAACAAAAATCCACAAAGAAATTCTACCCATTTTTGCTTAGAGCATCCTCATTTTATATCAGCATTTTTGTATGCTGCAAAATATCATGCAACATGTTGTATTACTAGTGTCATTTTATACTGTCAAATCTATAAAAGGCTTTTTGTAACTATTTCTATTGCTCTACAATATCTACCAAAATATAGCTTTTAATTTGTGTTATTTGATTAATATAATTTAAAAAATACCTATAGTATATTAAAGATTCTTTTTGACTTCTGGACCACATTGGTGAACAATAAACCAAGTGCAAAAATGTACCGGTCTAATCAAAAAAAGGAATAGACAATTTCAATCTGATAACTATCCTGAGCACTAGCACACAGATTCCTAAAGTGACATATAGGAATGAGAACTAACTCAATCCAGAAAGTTCTTTTAAAATGTTATAGAAATATGTGACTGAGCACAGTGGCTTACACCTGTAATTCCATCATTTTGGGAGGCCAAGGCACACAGATCACTTGAGGAGAAAAAATTAGCTGGGTATAGTGGCACAGGTTTTTAATCTCAGCTACTAGGGAGGCTGAGCCACAAGAATCACTCAAACCCAGGAGGCAGAGGTTGCAGTGATCAAGATTCTGTCCCACCTGCCTCCTCCCCAAAAAAAGCCAGGCAAGGAAAAAGCAAAACTCCCCCAGGTAGATAAAAGCACCAAAATCGAGAGATAAGAGTTATGTGAATATTCTGTAGAATTATGAGATACTTATTTTATATACTTGTTATTTTAACCTATATTCTTAATCTCTATCACTTGACAAAATGCCTAGTTCTTAAAATATTTTAACCAATGATCATGGATCAAAAATTTGTCAAAAGAATAAAAATAAGATAGATGTAGTTTTTGCATTTTACATATTGAATGACATTAGATTTGATACACTATGCACTGATATCCTAAAACTTTCTCTGATTATTCAATATGTAAGTAAAATATTTAAGCTGTGGAATTGTTTTCAGATAGTATATTTTGTGAATTTCCTAAGCGCTTCCTATTTACACATAATGTATGGGGTAATTTTAATATTCTATTACATTTTGCTACAGTTCATAAAGTAAATAGACCTTTTATCTTTTTTCTTTTGCCCATCAATGGAAAAAGCCTCGGTAGATTTTCAACATATTTGGGTAATACGTTTTAATTGATCTCAGAACCATCTATGACAGACCCACAGCCAACATCATACTGAATGGGGAAAAGCTGGAAGCATTCTTCTTGAAAACCAGTACAAGACAAGGATGCCATCTCTCACCACTCCTATTTAACATAGTATTAGAAGTCTTGGCCAGAACAATTAGGCAAGAGAAAGAAAGAAAGGATGTCCAGATAGTAAGAGAGGAAGTCAAACTATCCCTGTTTGCAGATGACATGATTCTATATCTAGAAAACACCATAGTCTGAGCCCAAAAGCTTCTTAAGCTGATAAACAACTTCAGCAAGTCTCAGAATACAAAAATTGCTAGCATTCCTATACAGCAACAACAACCAAGCCGAGAGCCAAATCAGGAATTCAATCTCATTCACAATTGCCCAAAAAGAATAAAATATTTAGGAATACAGCTAACCAGGAGGGTGAAGTATCTCTACAATGAGAACTGTAAAACACTGCTTAAGGAAATCAGAGATGACACAAACAAATTTTAAAAAAATTCTTTGCTCCTGGATAGAAAGATATCCTATACATATCATTAAAATGGTCATACTACCTAAAGCAGTTTATAGACTCAATGCTATTCCTATCAAACTACCAATGATATTCTTCATAGTACCAGAAAAAAAAAAAACTATTTTAAAATTCATATAGAATAAAAAAAGAGCCCAAATAGCCAAGACAATCTTAAGAAAAAAGAACAAAACTGGCGGCATCTTGTTACCCAACTTCAAACTATATCACAGGGCTACACTAACTAAAACAGCATGGTACTAGGACAAAAACAGACACATAGACAAATGGAACAGAATAGAGGCCTAGAAATAAGTCCACACACCTACAACCATCTGATCTTCCACAAAGCTGACAAATACAAGAAACGGGGAAAAGACTCCCTATTCAATAAGCAGTGTTGGGTTAACTGGCTAGCTACATGCAGAAGATTACAACTGAAGCCATTTCTTACACCATGTACAAAAATCAACACAAGATGGATTTAATACTTAAATGTAAAACCCAAAACTATAAAAATGCTAGAAGACAACCTATGTAGTATCATTCAGGACACAGAAACAGGCAAAGAGTTATGACAAAGACACCAAAGAGCAATTGCAAAAAAAAAGCAAAAAATTGACAAATGGGATCTAATTAAACTTAAGAGCTTCTGCACAGCAAATGAAACTATCAACAGAGTAAACAGACAACGTACTGTATGGGAGAAAATATTTGCAGCTATGCATCTGACAAAGTTCTAATATAGCATCTATAAGGAACTTAAATTTACAAATAACAAAAGAAAACACATTAAAAAGTGGGCAGAGGAAATGAACAGACACTTCTGTAAAGAAGACATACATCGGCCAAAAATCATATGAAAAGAAGCTGAATATCACTTATTATTAGAGAAATGCAAATCAAAACCACAATGAGATACCATCTCACACCTGTCAGAATGGCTAATAGTAAAAATTCAAAAAATAACATATGCTGGCAAGTGGCAATGTTGTGGAGAAAAGAGAACAAGTATACACTGTTGGTGGGCGTGTAAATTAGGTCATCCATTGTGGAAGACAGTGTGGCGATTCCTCAAAGTGCTAAAAACAGAACTACCATTCAACCCAGCCATCTTATTACTGGGTTTATACCCAGAGGAATATAAATCATTTCACCATAAAGACACATGTATATGTATGTTCACTGCAGCACTGTTCACAATAGCAAACACATAGAATCAATCTCAATGCCCATCAGTGACAGATTGGATGAAGAAAATGTGATACATTTGCACCATGGTATACTATGCAGCCATAAAAAATGAGATTGTGTCTTTTCTGGGAACATGGATGGAATTGGAGGCCCTTATTTTTAGCAAACTAATACAGAAACAGAAAACAAATAGTGCATGTTCTCACTTATGAGTGGAAGCTAAATCATGACAGCTCATGAACACAAAGAAGGGAACAACAGATACTGGGGCCTCCTTGAGGGTGGAGGTGGGAGGAGGGAGAGGAACAGGAAAAATAGCTATTGAGTACTAAGCTTAGTACCTGGGTGACGAAATAATCTGTACATCAAGCCTCCTTGACATGAGTTTACCTACATACAACAAACCTGGACATGTACCCCCAAATCTAAAATAAGAGTTAAAAAATATAAAAACTAAAATGAAAAAATGATCTTATTTAAACATACGTTTTAACGTATATGGAAAATTTATTTTGGGTGCTCCATGTGGCAGCTCAAAGGTAGAGGCAGTCATCCTACTCAATTGCTAAAAAATGATTTACAGGAAAAGACTTGTGTCAGATGACCAGGAAATTTACCCATATGTATTAACATTTTGTGAACAGAGAAAATCAACATGGGTTTTGTAACATGAACCCCAAATCAAAAGATACAAGGGCAAATTCCTCTAGATTTCAGATATTGATGAATTTTTATAGTTGTTTCTCAAATAGGCAACTTTACTACAGCAATTTCCAAGTTTCCTAGTAATAGGGAATTATATATTTATCTGTGGTTGATTATTCCCTATAGGCAATCCTAGAGGATGGTTTCTAGCTACTTTGTTAAAGAGAGAAAAAATTAAAATTATTTGTTCTTTTGGAGAAAAATAAAAATGTTACAAATTGGATTAAATTGAAACCAATTTGTAAATAATTAATGGTGTAAAAAGCTGCTAAATGTTATGTTCAAATGAAACATTCATAGAACTTCAACCATCTGCTTTGTATTAGGTATTAAGAAAAGACAAAAACTAAAGATAATATCTACAGTGTAAATGCTGTTTATTTTGTAATTGAGATCAATTGTGATTCAAATTTCTCTTAGGAAAAAAATCTGTAATTTGATGAGCATTCACTCCATTTTTTAAAAATTTATCTTTGAGAATACACTGCACATAAGTGAAAATTTTCCTCTAGTTCATTGACATATATATCAAGTAGAACATTGGCATGGATGAACAAAACCACAAATAAGAGGCCCAGCTTGACGGAAGCTGCTAAAATAATGATTTTACTTGGAAGATGTGGCCTGCATGCTGTTTTGAATTAGGTGCCAGGGACACTACATGGCAGGATAGTTTTCATTTTAGATGTTAGTTATTTCTTTAGTCATGAAGTGGCATTTGTACTGTAACAGAATTTGTGATGAATTTGTATCCCAAAAATTTACATCTCCGGGGGAATGCTGCAATTTGCTAGTTGTTAGACATTAGATAAAGCATAGCACATTTTGATTCTGTCTTCACCTGTGTAAAGTGGCATACTCATACCTACTATGTTAAAAAGCTACTAAAATAATTCAATAAAATAATTATAGAAAGGCGTGAAGGAAATGCAAAATGCTATCTGCTAGCATCTCAAATTATGTTCTTGCTTGCTCTTCTCCAATTAACTGGACGCCTCACTGTTCTTTGAATATCTCAGGCTATGTACAGCAGGGCTTTAAGCACTTGTTTTTCTTCTGCTTCAAATCAAAACTCCTCATCCAGATATTTACTCCAAAGTCATTTTCTCAATGTTGCATTTTTTGGTCACGCTACCTAAGATTGCAACCCACATGTGTGACACCCCACCCTCCTTCATACACATTCCCTGTCCACATTTCACGTTTCAATTTTACTTTTAGAATTTGCTATTCTTTAATACACTAAATATTCTATTTATTCATCTTCACTCTCCCCAGTTGGAAAGTAAGCATCGTGAAAGTAGTAAATTTTGTGTGCTTGTTGATGGTCACATACCACTGTCTACAGCAGTGCCAGTTAGGTGGTAAAATCTAGGTATTTCATTCAGAAATGAATGAATGCTATAAGGGTGGTAAATTTTCCTGTTATTAACAGTGGGGAAAAAAGAAATTCAAATATGTAAAACAAGGATCTACTCCTTTTTGTTTTTATATGTTTATAAGGAAAAAGTGGAGGACATTAATTAATGAAGGAAAGCAGAGATAATTTTAGTAGCCAAGTGAGAATGACAAATTTTATTTTTGTCATGCTGTCCTCACTATTGCTAGCAGCTTCCTAGAGCACTCAACTGAAGAAATTCATCATCCTGGTTCAGACAAAATGACTTTATTCAATTAAAATACCCGCCTTGGGTCTGGGGGTCAAATAAGTGAGAATTTTGTGTCACACATTTGGCATTCCCACAAGTAAAGAATTTCAGAAAATTTTAGCAGTAGACATTTGGCAATATCTTGACAGTGATTACTCGATTTAACATAATCCATCCAGGTCATTCAAGAGCTAGTCTCTTAGGGTCTTTAACCCAGTGTCAATTCCAATATCCCTTTGGAGAAAGATCTCTCCTAACCCACTGCTCACATCAAAGCCTTTTAGGGCCCCTAGAGTTTCCATAGGACAGTGTAAAAAAGATATTTAATCAATAACACAGCTTATTAAACAAAAATTAGTTGACCTAATGAAGATTGTGTATTCTCAGAATGCACATAGAGTTTGGGAACACTTAAGGAGTTTATGCAGTTAGATGTTGTGAAATAGAGACAATACCCAGGGCAAGAATTAGCTTTCTATAGAGTTAGACATTTGTTTATGGAATTTTGTTTATTTTAAAAATGAAGGCTTGACAAACTGAGGGAAACTATTTGTAAAAGATATATCTGATAAAGGTCTGTTATCCAAAATATACAAAAACTCTCAAAACTCAATAAGAAGAAAGGAACAACCTGATATTTTAAAAAATAGACAAAAGATCTAAACAGATATCTCACCAAAGAAAGTCCAAGTTGACAAATAAACATATACAATATCATACATCATTAGGGAAATGCAAATTAAAACAATATTAAGATATCACTACATACCCATTATAATGGCCCAAATTTCAAACTCTGAAAACACCAAATGATGGCGAGCAGGTGAAACAATAGGAACTCTCATTCATTGCTGTTGGGAACAAAAAATGGTACAGCCATTTTGGAAGACATTTTGGTAATTTCTTGCAAAACTAAATATACTTTTACCGTGCAAACCAGCAATCATGCTACTTGATATTTACTCATATGACTTGAAATTGTATGTGCACACAAACACTGCACAATGGTGTTTATAGCAGCTTTTTCCTAATTGTCAAAATTTGTAAGCAGCTAAGATCCTTCAAAGAGTGAATGGATAAATAAGCTGCAGTACACCCAGACAATGTACTATTCAGGGCTAAATAGACATGAGCCATGAAGTCACGAAAAGACATGGAGGAACCTTTGTAAAATGTGCTGTACAAAATGGCGTTACGCAGGTTCCGAGTTCTGAAGTAGATTTCAGAAGCCATTCTAAGAAGGATTACCTGCATGGCTTGTAACCTTGCAAAAAAGAAAAACAAAACAAACAAACAAAAAAAAAAACAGAAGTTTGCCTTGAAACTTTGAACTGGGCCAAACTGCAACAACCATAGCATCCTGAAAAACAACTGAATGTCACCAACACTGGAACTCTTGAATAGCAACAATCAAGGAACTATGGACTCATGTACTAAGCCAGGTTCTTCCACCAGTGATAATTCTTTCAAAACAACTTGTGTAATTACCCTCAGTGTACTGTTAAAATTTCCTACTCCCCTCTGTCTCTTCGGAACACAATTTGATCTTTGGACAAATATGTGCCTCCAGAATTACAATTTCAAAGACCGCAATAAATGCCTGTCTTATTGCATTGCAGTCTGGTTTTCCACCTCTTCTTAGTTCACACTTAAATGCATGATAGTAATTGAAAAAAGCCAATCTGAAATGGCTATACATTGCACTATATCATTCAAACAATATGACAATCAGTAAAAGGCAAAACTATAGAGACAGCAAAAAAAAACTCAGTGGTTATGAGGCAGAAATTGTTAAATCAGTGGAGCAGAGAGGATGTTCAAATCAATGAAACTACCCTATATGATGCTATAATGGTGAATGCATGTCATTATACATTTGTCTAAGCCTATGGAATGTACACCACCATAAGTTAACCCTATTGTAAACTATGGACTTTGGGTGATAATGATGTGTCAATATAGGTTAATTGATTCTAACAAGCATGCCACTTTGGTGCAGGATGTTGACAGTGGGGCAGGCTGTGCATATGTGGGAATAGGAGATGTATGGAAACTATACCCTCTACCTCATTTGTCTGTGAACCTAAAACTGCTCTTAAAAATGAAGTCTGTTTTTAAAAAACCATCTAGGCCCAGTTTCAAGTACCTTTGTTAGGGTTATTATGTCTAGAGGAAAAATTGGCCTAGCAACTGTTTTTCATCCAGTTTTAAATTCACAGAGAGACTTGTATTATTTCATTTAGACCTCATGACCTCATTAATTCAGATCTGTTCATTTCAAATGCATGGTATTCAACTAGACTAAAGAATACTTTTGTAGTTCTACCCATCCCCCACCCAAAGTAAGGGTTTTCTAGGGAAGAAAAATTTGAAGAGAGAACGCTTATTATGCTCAAAATATTCATCTGTTTTCAATTATTTTAAGCACTTTAAGCAATTCATTTACACATGAATGGCTGAAATGGTAGAATACAAAACTCTTATCTGTATAAAAATGCCAGGCTGCATTTTTTTTATTTGAAAATATTTGTTTGTCATAAAGCAATATAAATGCTTGGCTTGTAAAATCATCTCTAAATTCAACTAACTCCTTAAATGTTTCTAATTCCTGTCTCTTACAATTTTTCAAAATATATTTTGATATTGAGTTTACTTGTATAGAATGCTCATTGCGGAGATGATTACTTTTTATTTATAAGGTACTCCTAACTTTTGTCTTAATTAGTTTTAGATTATATATAGTCAACCAATAAGAAAAATGTTTAATAAATTAGATTTTCAGATCTGTAAGTGCATTCTATAATGCTAAAATTCAACTTTTGTTCATAAAAATCAGGGAGAAGGTAAAACCAAAATAGATACTTATTAAACAATAAACAAGTTTAACCATAATATAAATAATGCATCCTGTGTGTTCATTTTGGGTGATTTCTCTGCATGAAATATCTTAAAGTACAAATCCAGTGAGCTTGGAATTATAACTTGTATTTTTCTGTATGGTTGTCCCTTAAATAAGCATTTATGTCATTTACTGTATTGGATTTTTTTTCAAAGACTTGTTTAAAAACTCAAAAATTGTCTTATCTGACCCAATATAAATTTTTGTTCAAAATTAACTGAAATATCTGTAAATGGTTAATATGGTAGGATAAACAGATTATTTCTCTTCAGTGAGTTTTTAATCCTTATTTCACCTAATTTAAATATTTATTACAAATCTGCCTCTTCCAACTTTTCAGCTAACTTTTCTGAAAAACAGCTTAATATTTTCTCCATTGTAGTTTCTCTCTCTCTCTCTGTATGTCAGTCCCTTTTTCTGTAACATATTATTTTAGTTCCACTTGTCTCATGTTACATTTGAATTAAAAGTTTCTATTTTTAGTAGCAGGAATTTAATTGACCTCTACTGACTACATTTTATGTAGGTATCAGCCCATAATTGAAAGGTTGAATATATGAGTTTGGTTATTTTTATCCAGATACAGTTAAAGCAATAAAAGTGAAGTCAGTTAGCATTCACCAAAGTTCTAAGAAATACATTAATTTCTTTTATTAAACAAAATATTATTTGTTAACGCAATTGCTTTCACTTATGACATAGATGATTACTAGCAAAGAAAAAGATTATGTGGGTGTCCCTTGATGAAACATGATTAAGTCTATAGTCAGCAAAAATTCAAATTTCAATTTTCCACATCCTAGTTGCCTGACATTGGCAAGATACTTAGCCTTTTTAAAATATATATTTTAAAGGTTTAGAATATTGTGGATTGCATGTGATGATATGCATAGCTGCCTTCGCACACTATCTTCGCACACTATAAAATATGTACTCGATAAATTTCCTAAGATTCAAATCAATGAAAAGGATGCAGTAGATAAGCAAGAACTTCTTTTTACCAAATTTGTTCAGTTATTTTCAACCATCTGAAACACAGCTTGACCTGGGTTTACACATAGTCTATATTCTAAAATATGTCCTTACCTTTCTGGAACTCATTGATGTGGATATTGTATATCCTGATATTATCTAAAAATTAATAATAAAGCAAAAATATTACTAAACCCTGAAATACCCTTGATGATAGTCCACATTGGACTTTAGGGATTTTATTCATGAAGGAATATTTTTAACTCATATAAGTTCCTGATTTTACATTAGATACAATGACCATAAGCATATAAGAAGAGAATGCCTGTATATAGGGAGTTATAGGAAATTGCTGTAAAAAGTAGAAGTAATATTAAAACAAAACAGAACAGAACAAGTGAAACACTAACTTATGAAAAACAAGCAGTATTCTGTGACCAAGGTATGCAGGGAATATTTAATGCAGGACTATTGAAAGTTTGTATAGAAGAATGGACTCTGATGGCATCACCAAATAATTACACAGCACCTCAATTAATAAAAATAGGAAAACAACTACCTTACTTACAGACATAAGAACATTTATGAAACCATCCATTCAAATTTTAGTCAACATTTTTTAAGAAATACACTGTATGTAGTTGTTCATGTATTTTATCAGAGAGGTAACTAGTGTTAAGAAAATTTTATTGTGTAGAAATTTTCAATCTGTTTAGAGTATCAAATGTTTAATATTTTTGTGTATTTACAAATGTGTTTACAAATATATTTTATATTTGTCTGGCTGTTTAAATTATGCTTTTGATAAAGCTTCAGTGCTGCTATAATGTCTAAGGCTCATCCTACTGTGTGAAAATATGAAATTTCTCTCTCATCTGTAATAGAAAAATGAATGTGTGATCCTCCTTAGAACAGGATCCATAAAATGTCTGCTGGCAAAAGAAACTCAGAAAGATAAACATAAACCTTAACTTTAGACAAACAGTTGAAAGCCTCTCAATCTGCTTTGTTTTGTCAGCAACTTCTAGCGGTCATGCTAAGAATTAAAAACATGCATATTGCTCAGCAAAATCCACATGAATATTAGACGTGTGTGTGTGTGTGTGTGTGTGTGTGTGTGTGTATGTGAGTATGAGTAATGGAATTTTAAGAGTACAGCATTCTGGAAAGTATGTAGCAGATATAAACTGAGGCCAAATTTTATATACATATATATATATATATATATATATATATATATATATATATATATGGCATACATTATGTATTAATCTGTTCTCATACTGCCAAAAAGAACTGCCCAAGACTAGGTAATTTAGAAAGGAAAAAGCTTTAATTGACTCACAGTTCTACATGGCTAGGGAGGCCTCAGGAAAATTATAATCATAGTAAAAGGCAAAGGGGAAGCAAGGAACCTTCTTCACAAGATGGCAGGAGGGAGAAGTGCCAAGCAAAGGGGGAAGAGACCCCCCTTAAGCCACAAGATCTTCTGAGAACTCACTCGCTATCTCAAGAACAGCATGTGGGAAACCGCCCCCATGATTCAATTACCTTCACCTTGTCTCTCCCTTGACACATGGAGATTATGGGGATTTGGGGGATTACAATTCAAGATGAGATTTGGGTGGAGACACAAAGCCTAACCATATCACATTGGTACTCAATCTTTCAATTAAGTAAAAAACCAAAAAAAGCAAATTTAAAGTTATTACATGTATTTTTGATGTCTAAATATATAATATCAGATTTTTTGTTTTTATCCCTAAATGTGTAAGGATTTAAGGATCAAGCCGACTTTAGTGAGATCATGCTAATTCTTTTAAGTGTTATTACACCAAGGTGGAATTTCTAAGTGACGCCTGTCTTGATTCTCCTAGGCAAAATATTTAATTACTGATCTATGCAATTACAGCTATCCTTATGATCTTTCATTATAGCATTTACCAGGTTGCACTGTAGCTATTGACTAGCCTGTGCTTCTTCTCACTATTCTCATTATTGTTATTCTGTCTTTGAGCAAGAGAACTCTGTCTCTTTGTTTGCCTAGTTCTAGAGTGTAAAAAAAAACAAACATAATCATTAACAATTATTGAATGTTTACATTGAGCCTACTAGTCTGTCCATCTATATGAATATAAATTAACAGTCTCTTCTTCTGGTCATTGCTAGAGTACACAAACTCTGTCCATTTTCCCCATAGTAAAAGGATTAACACCTTACACTTATCTCTTGGGACTCTCCAATATAAACATTAAAAATAATCAAAAACAATAAAAATTTCCCAGATTTCTTTTACCTCCAAGTATCTTTGTGTTAGTCTATATATAAAAATGCATATAAATAATTCTCTGAATGCTTTTTCTTCTTTTTCAGGAAGCATTTCTGTTTCGATTCTCAGAGGGAATTGTACTACCCTTTCAAAGATTTAGGTACAGGTTGAATATCCATCATCTTAAAATCCCAAATTAAGGCCAGGCGAGGTGGCTCAAGCCTGTAATCCCAGCACTTTGGGAGGCCAAGGCGGGCAGATCACGAGGTCAGGAGATCGAGACCATCCTGGCTAACATAGTGAAACCCCATCTCTACCAAAAATACAAAAATTAGCCAGGCGTGGTGGCGGGCGCCTGTAGTCCCAGCTATTCGGGAGGCTGAGGCAGGAGAATGGCATGAACCCAGGAAGTGGAGCTTGCAGTGAGCTGAGATGGCACCACTGCACTCCAGCCTGGGTGAAAGAGCGAGACTCCATCTCAAAATAAATAAATAAATAAAATAAAATAAAAATCCAAAATTGAAATGGTCCAAAATCCAAAACTTTTTAAGCAACGACATGATGCTACAGATGGACAATTCTGCATTCGATTTCATGTGAGGGGTTACAGTCAAATGCAGTTAAACTTTGTTTCATGCTAAAATTATTAAGAATATTATATAAAATTACCTTTAGGCTATGTGTAGAAGGCATATATGAAACATAATTTCATGTTTAGATTTGGTGCCATCTCCAAGAGATCTCACTATGTGTCTGCAAATATTTCAAAATCTAAAAAAATCCAAAATCCAAAACACTTCTGTTTCCAAGCATTTTTGATTAGGTGTATTCAACCCATATATGGGAAATTTAGGAAAAGAAACCCAAGATTGAAACATTGTCGCTGAAGTTGATTAAATCTAGTAATATGCTAATTATTTAAAAATTTCAATCCAGAGACAGAAAAGAAGGCCTAAAGTATCCTTATATTTTTTTCTGGCAATTTTTCAGAATGATGTAAGGTCATAAAAGTTCAGGTTAGTTTCTTATAAACACAGAGACAGCTGACATTGCTGGGAGACATCACCATGGGTGGTAGATATTTCGTGAAAATAGTTTTATGTTAAATGAGTTGTGATGTTCAAATAAAGGTTCTGGCTTAATTTCATTCTCTCTCTCTCTTTAAAATATAAAAAGACAATACTTGTGTTGATTGCCTGCTCTTTCTAGTAATTACAAGCCAATTTCCTCTGAACAGTGTCTGTCTCTTAATCACAAGTAACAGCAGGTACTGAGCAACTGATATGCCACACATTTTACTTTGACCAACACCCACAAAAGGAGCTACATTAAGTAAAATACTAAAGAGTTCTGAATTAAATGATTCTGGATTTTCCACTGATTTAAAAAGTATAGCAAACGTATTGAAAATGCATTCTAATTTTATATTTTCCGATAACTATAGGTTTTCTTTTAGTTGTGAGTTTGCCCTTGTTTTGTTAATTATATTTTCAGAAATGTAGAATGTGGAAAATTCCTATTCATCATGAAAGGATGCTCTCCCTTTCCTAGGCTATAAAATAGCAAAAAGTTAAGTGTTAATCAGGAAGCTATGACAAAAAAATAATAATGGCTTGACTTAATGCAATTAAAAAATAAGACAAAGGAACAAAATACATGTATATATCAAGAGACGTGGGGAGTATTTTTGCAGTATAAATGACAGACTTTTGTTTATTAACATGTAGAATAATTTTTAAAATTTGATAATAGAAATCCAATAAGAAATTGAGAGGGAAAAAAAGATACAGTTTAATGACAGAGCAGGAGTATCGCCATCTTGAACAAGCCCCTCATTCTAAAGTTCACCTTAATAAAAAAACCACCTAAATCCAAAGGGCATCAGCCTAATAGCTAAGGTCAGCACGACCATAAACCACAAATAACATCTCCAATCAGAGACATTCCAAACTCCTCCCTGACCACAGACATGCTAGCCCCAAGATAACCCCCTTCCAGCCAGGAAGATGCCAGCCCTGAGTTAACCCCCCTCTGGCCAGAAAGATGTCTTCCCCAAGGTAACCTCCCCTCCACCCAGAGACATTCCAACCCTGCCATAAACTTCTCCCCCACATATAAACATTCCAAGCTTGTGATAAGCCCCTTCACCCTAAAACCAATATATACTCTTAGTCTGTAAGAGAAAGCACTCCTGACAGAAATTGGCCAGAAGCCCCTCTCAGGTTTTATCTAAAGTAAATCTATCTTTAACTATTGAGCTGAATTTTGTGTTTCTTTCCTCTTTCTTTATCTCTTATATTTAACCTAACTCATCATTATGAATATTCAAATGTAAGTTTGGATAATACTAGATAATATTTTTATTCATCTAAGGAGAAAATATTGAAAAGATTAATCAAATGTATTGGAGGTAATCACATTCAAGCATCTCAAGGGGAATTTTTGAAAATTGTAGAAAAGTAATTTGTTAACATCAATTGCAATTTCAAAAGCACATAATTCTCGCATCAGCATTCCTAATTTCATCTCATAGAAAATAAATTTTTTGTCAGATTACGTTTTCAAATATAGTTTATAATATTAAGTAGAAAAACAAAACAAAACAAACTGAAAACTAAACAAATACACGTAAAACTGTGGCCACTGTGTCTCTAATAATAAGGTAATGGTTGAGTAAATTATAGCCAAACGGCAGGGTACAGTGGCTCATGCCTGTAATCCCAGCTACTCTGGATGCTGAGGCAGGAGAATTGCTTGAACCCAGGAGGTGGAGATTGCAGTGAGCCGAGATTGCACCATTCCACTCCAGCCTGGGCAACAAGAATGAAACTCAGTCTCAAAAAATATATATCTATACCCAAACATGTCAAAGAAAAATCGCACTGGACAGAGTTAAACAGGAAAGGAAAACTTTATTCAGGACTGTTGCAATAGAGGTCAAAGCTATTGCAATCGGGGAAAGAGATTGAACTCAACTCCACTGAAACAAAATGTGGGCAGGTATTTGATGCTGGTCTGACCTAGTAGAAAAGTACTGGGGACATTATAATTGGTCAGTGTGATTAGGCCAACAGTATTTGCTAACTGCTATTTGCTAAAGTTAGACTTCTACCCTCCCACAGAGACTGGAAGATAGGGGCTCTATCCTTCTTGACGATAACATTTCAAAATGATGTCTCCCAGGTCCTTAAGAAAGACAGTCTTGAGCTGTAAAACTGCTAAGAGGCTAAGAAGAGAATCATACCTCAAAGGGTTAGATCAAAAATTTATAATTGCAAATTTTATAAAGTACTTAAATGATCTAAGAAAAGGGAGGTCAGTGGCCTGTAGTCAGAAGGAAGCTTATTTACAGTTGAGTCAAGCTGAGAAGAACATTAAGATCATCTTGATCAACCACACAATAGAGTATGGTAATTATTAAAACAGATGAGGAAATGGCAGATGGCATCATTGTGATACCTTTTGAATCTGTCCTAATCTCCTCAGAGGTAAGGGAGAAACAAAGGTGGAAAAAGAAAAAAAAAAACCACCTTAACTAGGTGTGGTAATGCCACACACCTCAAAAACTAATGCAGATGGGGCCTAGCCACCAATGGCAGGAAAGAAGTGCATGTAAAAGTTAAACAAACAGTAACTACAGGAGGGAAGACAAGAGAGGCTTCTGTTAGTCCTAAGAAACACATAGCTTAAAAATCACCAACTAGTTCATACACTGAAAGGAGGGTTTGTCACATAGGAAGAAAGCCTCAACAGTGTTTCTGCAATCTGAAGATAAAACTGGAAAGGTTAATTGCAAGGGAACAATGGAATATTCTAAGGATCTATGAGGTTGCTTAAACCCACAGACCTCTCAAAAAATATGCAGAAAAACAACAACAACAACAACAACAACAAAAAACTAAGTCCCTTCATGAGGAAATATTCCAGGGAACAGAACATAAATATATATAGGCAAACAATCTGTGGACAAAAGAGATGAGGACTAAACTGGTTTTATTTTTAATCTTGCCCAAATTCCTATTCCTATCTAGGGGTTCTGGAGAGTCATGCCCTACGAACAATAAATTAACATCAGATGGGTTTTATTTAACCCTATATATCGTGACTTACTTTCCAATCTGACTCTGGAAAGTTGAATGAATTCACTGTTTGTTTAAGCAGGGGTCAGTAAAGTAGGTCTTGCAACAAATCTGTCCTGTTACCTATCTTCGTAATCAGTTTTCTTGGAACAGAGTCATGTTCTTTCTTTTTCTTTTACACGTTATCTATAATTTCTTCAGTGCTACAAAGGCAGTTTTGAGCAAGTGTGGTTGATTGTATGGCCCACAAAGGCTAAAATGTTTATGGATCTTAAAAGAAAAATTCTAGAGGAATTGATTGAGAATAAGAAAATTACATACACATACACATACACACACATACTCACACAAAAACACAAGTGGCAATTGGTGAGGCACTCAATGCCTTTTTAACAAATGCTTTTTGTGATTATATATGCAGATTTTTTTTCCTTTTGCTTGCAACTAGGCTGTCAAACTGGTAGATACCCATCAAGGATCCCTTGTCTTATTCATATCCATAGTACACCTTAGAAGAGTATAAACACCTTAGAAGAGTGATTATTCATCCACTTAAAGTCAAGTGGATTTTACCCAGTCTGTTTCTGGTTAGGGAAAAGTCATAATAATTAGGGCAATGTCCACTGTCAAACAACCCACTTTGTTTTTTATTTGAGATTTCAACTTAAGTTTACACTGTACAGTTGAACAAAAATTGAGAAAAAATCTGCTAAATCCCAAAAGGCAACTTATTCATTAATTATGTAAGTAGAAATACAGAATAAATGACAGATAATTTAGCATCAGCCTTGAAACACAAAGGATAAAATGTCTGATACTTTTTCCTCATAAAAACACTTAGAGGAAGAAAATACTACAGTAGCAACTAACTGCAATGAGTATAAACAAGTATACTTCAGAATTAAAGCTAAATAATAGAACAAACTTAATCTTATATACAATTTGTTGTCTTAGGTCAGTGTCCCTAGAAACAGACTCTGGGAGGCAGGTTTGTACTCAGGCAGTTCATTGGAGAGTGAAAGATGTAGGATTGCTCAGAGAGTGGATTTGAACTGTAGTTCAGTGACCACGGAGGCTTCATCAGTCAGTCCCACAACAGAAGCTTCATCAGTCAGTCCCACGGAGAGCTCTGGAATTGAGATGGCCCTTCAAAATGGCCCTGCCTGGAGGAAAAAGTATCCAGTCTCTGAATGTGGACGGTTCCAAGAAGATAAGGTAAACTTGAATGAGGAGACTCTCTTTAGCCAAAGGTAATTCCTCAACATTATCTCAGTTGAGCCCTCAGCTGCCAATACTCCCAGCAGCCAGAGGAAGTAGTGCCTAAGTCTTCAGGAAGGGACCTGAATAATAGGCCATGACTTGCATTATATAATAGTTCATGCTTTGTACTGCTTTATTCTGTATTCTTTATATGAGTACTTCTAGGAAGAGCTGCAGAATTGTTGCTCTCTTTTCCTGGGAAACATATGAGGGAAGTTGGCGGAAACAAACTAGAGGCTGCCAGTGATGCTCATTTTCTCTTTCTTCTATAAAGCATTCCAGACTTCTGTCACCATCTAAGGGGTTTGTCTGGTGGCAAGATTCAGACCATCAGCCTTGGGGGATCTGAATCTCTGATCATCATGACTTTCTTAGTCTGTGAATGCTACACACATCCATTTATTATCAAAACTGAACCAAGTAATACCAAGAGCACCTCTGTAAGTCATCTAAATGCCGAAGATATTCCCCTCTACCCTCATCGTTGTTTTCTATTTTACTCTTTGCCTGTATTTTTTTATTGTAGTAATAATATTTTTCGTGATATCTGCCTTTTTACAAATTTGTATGTGTGCAATATGGTATTGTTATATAGAGGCACAAGGTATAGCAAATATCTTGAACTTAATTATCTTGAACAACCGAAACTTTATACTTGTTGCGTAGCAATTCCCTCCTTCCTCCTCTCCTCAGTACCTGGCAACCACCATTCTATTCTCTGCTTCTGTATGTTTGGCTATTTCAGATATCTCATGTTAGTGAAATCATGCAGTATTCATCCTTCTGTGACTGGCTTATTTCCCTCAGTATAACGAAGCTACTAGGGAAAACAGTACGGTAGTTCCTCAAAAAATTAAAAAATAGAAATGTCATATGATCCTGAAATCCCACTTGTGGGTATTTATCCAAAACAATTAAAATCACCATCTCAAAGAGAGATTTGTACATCTGTGTTCATTAAAGCGTCGATCACAATAGCAAGACATGGAAACAATTAAATGTTCATCAATGGCTACATGGATAAGAAAATGTGGTATATACATATAATGGAACACTAGTCAGCTTTTAAAAAGGAGGAAATCTTGACATGTAACAACATGGATTAACCTGGGGGACATTATGTTAAGTAAAACAAATTAGCCCCCATTTTCAACACCCTACACCCTTCAAATTAGCATTGTCGATTGCACTACCAGGATCATGACTCCTTTCCTTGCTAACTGATCTTTTCACCTAAGGAACACAAAGTTATTCAATGGCACCCATAGCTTGAAGTTTAATTTTATTTTTACGTATCCTCTTACACAGGACCATTTCTCTCTGGAAACCAAGACGTCAAACTTTTAAAGTCCAAACTTACGAGAAAGGAAATCACAAATCACCTGAAGTCAAGTGGGAGACAGATAGTAGGCTACTCTTTCTACCTTTTGGTTCCTAAATTGATGCTTTTCATTTATTGAAGATGTGGTGCTATATAACCTTATTTGACGTATAGCTTATAGTGCATTCTGAAGAATGGCACTACATCCTTGGGGCACTGTCTCCAAACTGGCACTAAAGATGTAGCTTCAAAAGTCTATTTAATTACTCTTTCATGATGGCAGCTTCTGCATGGGGCAATGTGAGACAATACGGAAATGTCAGAAGAAAAAGCAAAGCCGATTCCCAATATGTGTCATTTTAAGTCAAGATATATCACTCCCCTTGTAGAATGCAAGAAGGACGACATAATCAATTGTGACTGAGTTGTTGTCATTAGATCTCTTCATGTGGTGATGCTGTACTAGGATATAGCATGGGTCTCGTACTGGCAGGTTGTACTTCCAACAGAAGCAGTAATTGGGTCAGTCTATATGAGTAGAGAATACAGTGTTGGGCCAACTCACACCCCATATCCTCCACAGCTGTATTATGGATACATTATAACTGCCCATCATACCAGCATTGGGCTGGCCAACATTAGTTGGTGAAGTCATTCTGCCTACTTGGTTATGTATTGCCTTTTCCTAACACATGGTTTTTCAAGTGGAGTTATCCAAACATTGCCATCCCAAGTCTCAGGATCCCCCTTTTCTCCAATGAAAGCCTTATGTCTGTATAGAAGACTAGCTAAGGAAGAGAATCCAAACTTCTTTAGTACTCTACTACTCTTAAAATTAAGTGCTAGGCTTTATCATCAGCACTTTCTGCCCCACCTGCTGCAGTAAATGAGTCTTTTTATATACTGCAAAAGAGACCCTCTGACTTTTACAGATGGCTCTCATTTGATCAACTAATCACCATCATCATTTTATTGCTTTTCTCCAAGGCATTCATGTTTATTGTCTTTGCCATTACCCCTGCACTTTAACCTCTCTAGGTTCAACCATCACCCATCTCCCATCACCCATTAATACATTCTCTTTCATTGGTATCTCATCTAACTTCACCACTAGGGGGAAAAAAAAAAAAGGAAAAAAATAGCTTAACAAATTGTAGCACATGGTATGTCAAGGACAGTGGGACACCTACCACCAGTGATGGGATAATTAGTCTTAGCTCCCCAGTAGATGACTCAGCACCCAAACTCTATTTTACAGTCTGTTTCCTTGGATTGTTTCAGGCATTAACTCTCTTAGGCAGGGTTTTCTATGGAACAGACTCTGAGACTGATATTTGCGTGCAAGGTATAATTGGGGAGTGCTCTTGGAATCAACTACGATGAGAAAATAAAAGAAAAAAAATCATCAGAGAGAGGCATTGACTGCAGTGCAGTCATAATAAAGGTCTTACTCAATTCCACAAAATCCTGGAGCCAAGATGGCCTTGTAGAATTCTCCCAAATTAAGGCAAGGGACCAGGAATTCATGCATTTAATAACAATTAAACCAAACATTTCTCTAAATAAGCTGATTCAGAGAAAGATATAGAAGAATAGTGTCTGCAGCTGTTGTAAAATTTTTCTGCATATAGCTAAGATCACAATACAGGTTGGTCATTTCTCTCTTCTCTATAAGCCCTTTCCCTAATATAAATTAAGTAGGAAGACGTGATAAGTCATACTCACATGCTTGTTTTCATTAGAACAGAAGTACATTGACATCCTTTTTTTATTAATGTTTTTACTTCTTTGAAGGACATGAAAAGTTGAACCTAGGAAGCCCATTTTCAGGTTTTATAGTCTAGCCTGAAGGAAAGCCCAGATGCTGTAACAGGAGCTGAATTAGGAGAAAGGGAAAATAGATCCACATTTTTCTTTCAATCTTAACACTAAACTTTCTTGAACAATGAATTCTGGTGAAGAAGAATATTTCAGAGGGGCTCTATACTGCTTATTTTTGTCCTCTTTTCCTCAAGCAAAGATAAATATTTTGTTGATTAATCAAATATTATGCTTAAGTTTATATGTATGTGTCCTAAACATGACTGGCATAAAGTCTGACATAGTTTTCATATTGGCCACTAGATGGGTATGGAAACACAAAAATGCAAAAAAAATGTTTTTATACAAACTTTTATAAAGATTTATAGTTTTCAAAAAAATCACTTAGAATGATTTAGAATATTATAACTAATTTTTATTAAAATTTTTATTTGAACTTTATTAGATACCTTAAGATATTTGGGGAAGCAAATATTTGCCAATATGGAAATAATTGAAGATTTTAATTTTTGATTTTTATATTTAGTTTACACGTTTGATAATGTAGTTATTACATAATATGTATACTATATTATTTCATACTTTAGATGATTACCAATAATTGTGTATTATATAACAAATACTGATTAACCGGCCGGGTGCCGTGGCTCATGCCTGTAATCCCAGCACTTTGGGAGGCCGAGGTGGGCGGATCACCTGAAGTCGGGAGCTGAAGACCAGCCTAACCAACATAGAGAAACCCTGTCTCTACTAAAAACACAAAATTAGCCAGGGTGGTGGCGCATGCCTGTAGTCCCAGCTACTCCGGAGGCTAAGGCAGGAGAATCACTTGAACCCGGGAGGTGGAGGTTGCAGTGAGCAGAGATCACGCCATTGCACTCCAATCTGGGCAACAAGAGTAAAACTCTGTCTCAAAAAATATATATATATATATATAGATTATCATCATAATAATTATTTTAAAGTGAAGCCTTTTACATTTTATATATTATTCAAGAATTTAGAATATATTTTACATGTTACTATTTAATCTTTAGATCATTGCCCCACGCCTCTGAAGGCTGAGAGATTATATGCTATTTACCAGCTAATTTGTTCGAAGACTTCTAGGTCACAGGCCAAGACATTTTATAACTCATAGCAATGGTGGTAGCTAAAATGTCAGCACTTTTGTGGTAATTCCCCAATCCCCACTTCCCACAAGGCTACTCAAATAGAACAGTGCATTGCCTTAGAGGAGAAGAAATCCAAACTTAGCAGACACAAATTATTCATAATGACAGTGAGCAACACTATCTTCCAAGGCTATTCAATATACAAACATTCTTGGAAAAAATTCTGAAACAAAGGGCAATCAGTGATTCTGCTTACAAAAACATGCAGAAACATGAAAGACCCGTAACAAGTTGTCTCCCAACAATTATTACTGCCAATAAAATAAAAAGTATATAAAAATCTTGATTTTTAACAAATGCATTTTATTCTTGAGTAAGACAAAATCTTTATAGAACAAATATTTTTAAAATAATTACTTTTTTTTAAATTTTCTAACTAAATATTGCCTTCCAATCAATGGAATATACAGATATTTGCAGTAATAATTAAATTCAGTCATCTTTGATATTTTACATACTTTCACTTATAGAAAAGCTATAGCTATACATATATCCTTTAAAAAATCTTTTCCCCTTTACAATATATTTGACATGGTAGGACAACAGGATATATTTTAATTAACAATTTGTATCTTGATTTATAATTTAAAAATATGTATATATATTGTATATGGGTCTCCATTTGTACTTTTATGCCATCAATAGCATTTTTTGTGTGTGTCAATTCACCTCATTTCTCTACCATATCCCTTTGTACAATCTAGTTAAAAATAGTAAGGTTTTAGCCACCTCATTTGAAATCTAATTGGAATATATCGACTGAGCTAAGCGACTATTCACCACTGCCCAAGTCACTGTGACATTTTCATTTGTTAGATGAACATTTAGCATCACTAACTGAAAACACTTTTTCTATAGCATGTCTTAACTTAAATTTTTAACCTAACATATGTCATATGAATACATCCTCATATCACTGTGCAGAATAACAGAAGAATATTCATGTTGGAGAACATTAAAAAAAATTTAATATGTCACAAATATGTCACTAAATGTACACAAGAACAGAAGTTCCAAGTCTCAGCGTCAAGTGGATAAGATGAATTAGGAATGTCTTCCCTAGTAATTTAAATGTCATTTTTAACTTTATGTTTCCCATTTGACAAACCATTATAGAAAATATATGGAAATAGAAATTGCCAAAATTTCAGCAACCCTGTGTTATTAAGAATTCAAATGAACATACAAATGTATGGTAGATTGTATACCAAACCACCATACTGTGGGCCCTTATCCCTATAAATCTTAGTGGTTAGTATCTCAGGCCATACATAAGCCATGAAAGTTCATTTATAATTGTAGGTTGTCAGGTGGAATTGAATATTGAATTAAAATTACAGCGACTTGCACAAAATTGAATTTATAATTATACAGAGCCATTATTTAAAGCACAGAAATTTCTTCCAAAGAGATAATTTTAAAAACAAGGCACTTGAGTGCTTATGTTTATTGCAGTTTTCAGCACCACTATTTCCCCACACATATACACTAATGGACCACTAAATATATATGCCTTTTTAAAAAATAACTTATCTTTGTGCAGTTATTTTTATCTTAGCAATTTGAGATGGGAGTTAATGTGCCCCTGTAGAAAATTTGGATTTTTAACAGTGTGTTTCATGGTATATTTGATAAAGAAACATGTATATTAAAAATTTTAATTGCACAAGCAGCTCCTCTAGCTTTACTCTAGAAAAAAATAGTACTAATACCATCAGTCATTAGTTGGTGTACTAAGCCTTCCGTACACCATTTTTTGGGTACTAAGTTCTTTTTATATAATCACACATCAAATAGGTTTTCCTCTAGTTTTTCCAACAGTTTCATAGTTTAGTTATTATATGTACTGCTATGAGCTCTTGCACACACTATATATATATTTTTTGAGACAGTCTCAGATATATATATATATATATATATATATATATATATATATATATATATATATATATATTTTCTTTTTTCTTTTCTGGAGATAGTTTCACTCTGTCACCCAGGGTGGAGTGCAGTGGTGCAATCTCAGCTCACTGCAACTTCTGCCTCCCGAGTTCTAGCGATTCTCCTGCCTCAGCCTCCCAAATGGCTAGAATTACAGGCTCCCACTAACACACTCGGCTAATTTTTGTATTTTTAGTAGAGACCAGGTTTCACAATGTTGGCCAGGCTGGTCTCGAACTCCTGACCTCAGGTAATCCACCCACCTCGGCCTCCCAAAGTGCTGAGATTACAGACGTAATCCACCATGCCTAGCCACACACTATTTTTTATATTGCAGCAGTCTTGGTTTGAGGTGTTTTTTTTTTATGTAGATATGCAATTGATTCAGTACCATTTGTTTAAAAGAATATTTAATTGTGTTAGTTCATTTTTTTGACATTTGGTTGTCCCGAAATATGTAGGGGTGTATCTTGATTTTCTCTTCAAATTATCTATATATTCATCCTTTTGCCAATACCACAATGTTTTATTTGTATAAATTTTACAGTAAGTTTTTATATCACATAGTACAAATCTTCCAATTTTTTTCCTCATTTTCAAAATTCTATTGATGACAATTCTAGGTTTTCTGTTTTTCCATGTATATTTTATAATCAGACTGTAGATTTCGAAAAATAAAAAAGCTAAAATTTTGATTAAGATTGCATTCAATCTATAGATCAACTGACATCTTAACAATATTGTGTCTTCTGATCTATGTGCTTGATATATCTCTCTATTTCCTTAGGGCTTCTTTAATTTTTTCCATAATAAATTTTTAGCTTTCAGAATTCAAGTTGTATAAATGTTTTGTTACAATCATTTCTAAGTATTGCATTTTATTGATGATATTTCGATTATATGTATGTGTATGTGTGTATATTTCTTATTGCACTTTCCAAATTTTTACTGCTCAAAAATAGAAATACGATTTAATTTTCAGCTGGGCACAGTGGCTCATGCCTGTCATCCCATCACTTTAGGAGGCTGAGGCGGGCAGATCACTTGCGATCAGAAGTTTGAGACCACTGTGGCCAACGACCTTTGTATTTTTGGCTAAAAATACAAAAATTAGTCGGGCATGTTGGGGGGGTGCCTGTAATCCCAACTTCTTGAGAGACTGAGGCAGGAAAATAACTTGAACCAGGAAGCAGAGTTTGCAGTAAGCTACGATTACACCACTGCACTCCAGCCTGGGCCACAGAACGAGACACAGTCTCAAACAAACAAACAAAAAAAGATATACAATTTAATTTTCAATATTGAGTCATATTCTTGAACTATGCTAAATTCACTTATTAATTCTGTTAGGGATTTAGGGAAACTCTTCAGAATTTTTATATAAGCAATCATGTCATCCGCGAATAAAACCATTTTTTTATTTTAAATCTATATGCCTTCCAGTAAGGAATACAATGTTTTTGCCTTATTCTTGAGCATATTGGACAAGCATACAATCCTTTATCATGAAATATGAAATTATCTGTAAGGTTTTATAGTGTGACAACATTTATTGCAGCTTTCTACATCCTAAGTGGAAGTGGAAGTTCTGAGGGACCATTTCAACTTTGAGAATTATTTGGAAGTGACAGTGCTACTCACTGGGGTCAGAAATGCAGAAAAATAACAGTAGTGTCCCTACTGAGCCAGAGCTGTGGCCTAGCAAAAATAAAAATGGAATTTTTATAGGAAATAACTAAAAATAGGTTTTAGGCAGAAACCTGGGACTTTTAAAGATTTTTTTAACTTCAAATAAATGAATTTTTCCCAATATCCTCAACATTTTATATTTTTATGAAGTAAATTCCCTTGTGTTTATTTTCAAATAATACAAATTGATTTTGAATCTGTGTTTCAGTAAGGTTTTGATAATATGTTTCCTTGAGTGGTTGGATTACCAATGATTATGTCTGTCCTCCCAACATTTCATCCTACAAATTAAGAGGGTATGTTGGAACTAAAATATGTATAAACCAGGCATATAGATAAAAAAAGACCTATAATGTAATTTTCATAAACTTACTATGTTAAATAGAAAAAATGGAGGAATGCACTAAGTTCTAGCATTGTAGCACTCAAAATATTTTCAACTTTTATAGTTTTATTTTGGATTAATGATAAATGTGGGCAGATGTAATGAGAAATTTAATTATTCCAAAAACATTTCCTGCTCAAATATGATATAAGTCAGTATTATATAGAAGGAACTAAAGTAAATGGGAATATGTTCAGGGTGTCTTATGAAAGAATCACAATAAACAGAACATTAATTTTGTATGTATTTTAAAGAAATGGAAAATAAACTGTTTATATACACTGAAGGGCATGCTTTGCAAAATGAGAAGCAAGACATATGAGTTGAATATTAAAAGGTAATGTACTCTACAGAGTTGGGATAAGTCATTATCCAAGAAGAAATCGAAAAAGCCTTTAGCAAAATGTATGCTTGCATTCAAAAGGCAAATAGGAATTGGAACTGAACTGCTGAAGAAGCTAACAATAAAATTTAAAAAGACAAGAAAATTGCTGTTTTAGGAATTGGCTAATATTCAGCAAAATTGCTGAAGCCAGTATTGGTCATCCGAACTTTAGAATAAGCTAATTTCAATAGATTCTTCATGGAATATCGAAAATGAAGGCTAAAATACCAATTCATTTTGTTAAGGAACAACTAAACATATTTAGCCAAAAAAGGAGCAGACTAGTGGGAGGGAGGAAACATATTTCATGGTAACTGTTTATTTATTTCACTGAAAATAGACTGTTCTTATTCATTTCATTCATCCAGGCTGCAATTCTCTCTCTCTCTCTGTATATGTTGTGCCATATTGAAGTAGTTAGAGATGTCAGCCAAAATGGGGAGTAGAAAATATGCAGCAATGAATGGCATCTGGACGGCATTGTGGCCTCACTTATCACCAGATGTGGGTTAGAAAGCAACTGTTAATTTCCCATTTCATATCAGATTAAATAGCCACAGAATTCTGTAAAACTCCTGGTAAATGGCAGAAAGGAAAACATCCTTTAAACAGTTTTGATTTGTATTCCCTATTGCTTCTGAGAGCTTCACAAACCACTGGCATTCAGCCCTAACAGATGTCTTAACACCCAGGGAATTTCAAGAGCCTGTTAAACTATTATGCCCCCTGTGAAAGTTAAAATACTTTGTGTTGCTAACTGGCTTTCTTTCTGTTTATTGATACCTGCCGAATACTTTTCAGAACAGAAGAAGTGGACTTCATAGAGATAAGATAGAGCTAGCTAGATAGATAGATAATAAACTATACACCACCCTCACCAATATACACATATAAAGACACATAAATATATGTTTACATGTCAGTTCTCTTAAAACTACTAAAATGAATTATTACTAAAATGAAGTTAATTAGCTTCAAGTAAAAATAAACTACTTAATTTTGAAATTTTGCCTTAATTGCTGTTGAATCATCCACACCTAGCACAATACTGGGCACTGAATATGTTCAAAAATCAAAACCAAAACAACAAATTAAGTTAAATTAAAAAGTGAAGAAAGAGTTTTAAGTTTCAAGTGATGATATCATAGACATTTTGAAAAATGGCCTCACCATTCCACTGTTGAATCAATCAATGATTTATAAACGCAGTATTGAATGCTTTATTAGTAAATAAGCTGGTTATAGACATTCTTCAGCTCTCATTGCATTGTAGGAAACCTATACCGCATAATAACTGTAAGCATGAGGATTACTATAAAACTCCTATTTGGGCCTCTTTCTTTCCATGGCATGAGGAACCATTTTAATGTAATCATCTAATTATTTTTCAGATTCCTGAGCCAGGTATATTTTATATAAATCAACGAGTATCATAAGCTAACATATAAAGAGTATAATTAAGCACAAAAACATTTATTAGAGCCAAGCACAAGAATCTGAAATTTGTAAAGAGAATATTTTTAATAAAAATTTTATTTAAAGAAAGAAACTTTAGGTAATTAAGAATGTCATTGCTTTTATATTCAAAGCTGGCAGAGGAGCTTGCTAGCCACGTTATTGATATCGAATGAATATAATAATTATTATCCAAAAGTTTTTTATGTTAGTTAGAAAAAAAGACAATTCAATGACAATCTTTTCTTAAAATATACAGTAAAATTTTAATGGGGTTTGGAGCTTAAGGATTACATGTTAGGTAATATTTTATTTAACTTTTTTAAAAAGAAAAAGGAACAGAAAATTTATTCAAGAATATCTTAGCTTTACCAACACTGAGGCACATCCTTTCATAGACATTAACACACAGATTTTGAGGCTACAAAATTAGAGCTGATGACTCAAATATCCCAGTTAAAGATATGCATTTCAGAACTGTTAGAATTTAGAATTTACTACTTTCACCAAGTAATAAAATTCCTATTGATCAAAACCTGCACCCTTGTGGAGAGTTGTTTGTTACCTGCCACACAAATGAGTTTAAATGCATGATACTGAAAAAGCATAGAGGCAATTATAATAAATAAAAGAGAGAGAAAATGCCATGTAAAGACAGCCACAGAAGGAAGACGGAGGCAGAGATTGTAATTATGTTGCCACAAGCCAAGGGATGCCTGGCACACCTCAACATTTAGAGATGATGATGCTGAAGAGAAAATAGTAGCCAGGAAGTTACCAAGAAAGCCTTAAGTTTCGCCTTACACATTCTAAACCCAAGAAATGCATCTCCTGACTCCAGGCTCTAACTTCTCTTTTCACAGAGAATTTGCTTTCAAAAGCTTGTAAATTCTTTCTCTGTCAACTTAATACGTTAACATTTTTTTTAAAAGCTTCTTGCCAGTTTTACAACCCAGAAATGTTTTTCTCAAGGACGTGGGAGGCATTATTTCGAAAGGCCAAAGCACTCTCAAGGAAGGTAATGTCCCTGTCTCCCAGCCTCTGTGAGAGGATGAGAACCTAACTTAAGTGGACACCTTGCTCCAAGTTGTAAACTACTTCT